>NC_000009.12:106705400-106856915 GCF_000001405.40 Homo sapiens | reverse complement strand
AAAATGTCTGATAGTATACTTGCTAAACTGTGTAAGGAGTGAGAAAGATGGGGAGGAAAGTGTTGTTACAATTTGTGTTTGTGTGTGTGTGTACAAACATGAATCACTTTTATAATTTAAAAAATTTTACAGAAAAAATTATGTGGCATAGTAGTGGTTAGTATATCTCCAAATTAAGTCATTTCTTTGTATATTCTTAATAGGAAATAAAAATTAGCATGAATCTTTTTTAGAGCAATTTAACAATATACATTTAAAGTCTTTAAATGTTCACACTTTAGTGCCCTTAATTCCTATGCTTAGAATCTACCTTAACAGAAATGAAAAAAAATATATATATATATATAAGAAATGATAAAGTAAGTAATCAAAAATAAGTGATTAAGATAAGAGGACTAGTTAGGTAGATAATAATCTATTCCCATTATGACACATTAAGTAGCTTTAATTGTTTGAGAATTTGCAATTAAATAGAAAAATGGTCCAATATTAGGTAAAAGACCTGGATACAAAATTATGATCATGAATTACTTTTTTCAAATTGTATACCCCCAAAATCACCTTGAATGAAAATATACCAGCATGTCAACAGCAAGTTGACTTCTGATTAGAAAAAATTTGGAAAATTTAGAAGGTATAGATAAGCTATGTAAGTTATATAGCTATATAATGATGTTTATATATATATATATGCTATGGAGTCAACTGCTTTGTTTGGACTGAATTATCAATTATCTTTTTAAGTATTTAAAAACATTTTAAAGTTAAATGATAGAACCTACTTTTTATAAGACTGGTAATTGTAAATGTGTCTCAAGGAACATGTTAATACTGCTAATGAAATAGTGGTACAGTAACCTTTTCACACAGATATTTTTCCCTTCACAGATAATACAGGAAGAAGGTTTGAGTGGGCATTTTAAATATATTTTATATAGAAAAGAAAATTTAGGACCAAAGAGATTGAATGATTTAACCTAAGGTCTTCCAATGCTAATGGTATAAAGACTAAAATCCAGGTCTCTTAATTCTTACTGTTACATTTTGAAATCTGTCATTCCACTACAGTTGAAAAATATTACCAAATATTAGCAAAAGAAAATTACTAATGGCCAATATGAAAAAAGTTCAACATAGCATTTACATTGTATTAACTATTATAAGTAATCTAGAGATGATTTAAAGTATATCAGAAAAGGTATGTAGATTATATGCAAATATTATGCCATATTGTATAAGAGACTTGAGCATCCATGGGGGTCCTGGAACTGATATCCTTTGGATACCAAGGGATGACCACATACTGAATGTTTGTGAGTGTGTGTGATTTCCCAGTTGTTAAGAGCATATATAATTCCCAGTTGTTGAGAATATGAAAAAATAGACCCTATAATTCTCTACTGGTGAGACTGGAACTATGAAAAGTTTTATTCTTTCCAGATATATTAAAAGTCTTTTACCCAGGAATTTAATTTTTGGAAATTGATTTAAAGAAATATTCATGACTGTCATCAAAATTTTATGTATAAGGAGACTCATTGTAGCATTGATATCTAACAGCAAGTGATCAAAGAAGTTATATTCATTTATGTGATAGAAAGTTGTATGCCTATCAAATTCTGTAGGAAATGTCAAATGACACTGAAATATTTAAATGATTTTTTGATAACCAAAAAAACAGATTTCAAAACAATGTATATAGTATTATCCCATATTTGTATGTGTGTGTGTGTGTGTGTGTGTGTGTGTGTGTGTGTGTGTATGTGTGTGTGTGTGGCTAGGCACTGAAAAATAATCAGACAAGTATAATCAAAGTGTTAATAGTAATTTTTTCCAGGTAATGTCATTTTTTCTAGCAAAGTAATTATGTATACATTATACATTTTTTTCACTCTGGCTTTTCAGATTTTTAAGCTTTTCTACAATGAATATATCACTTTTGCAATTAGGAAAAGTTCAGAGCTTGCAAATAAATTTTGCCAGCATAAAATTTCTTCCATATCATAAGACTGACCAAATCAAATGCTTTTCTAACTTATAATGTTAATTGTGAGGTTTTGTTAATCATTATTTAAACACACACACACACACACACACACACCTTGAAATTCTTGGTGATATATCCATTTGATTTCCCAAACAGCCTTCACTCAGAATTCAGGGTATCCAGTATGCAGTATGCTAGCACAAAGTTGACTTTGCATCTGCAGACTACCAGCCCATGACTGATCCCTTGTAGATTTCATGTTATTTGCCCTTTCACCATTACATGAAATCTACACATACTCTCCTGTCCACTAGGTTGTGGTTTGATTTCTCAGCGCATTACTAATAACAGTGTTTCAAAAAAGTTACTCATTGGTTGTTTTTTTAAGTATCTAGAAGGCAGAACAGGTTTATTTTTAGTATCTTTCTGATGTTTATGTTGAAAATTTGTTCATTCCAAACAACAGGTTTTATGTGAACTTTTATTGACTTAATGTTTAGAACAAAGATGAAACCAAATCTAGCACTGGACACCTACTCACTGGTTTCCACCTCCTGCTTTTGCTAATGATGACCTTGGACAAGTGTCTTAATGACTCCATGCATCAGTTTCCACATCTGTAAAAGAGGAATAAATTAAATACTGATAGGATTGCTATGAGGATTGAATAACATGTATATAAAGTATATGGGAGTCTGTATCTGTAAGCTGATATGCTCTAAATCCTTAAACCTTTACTGTGAGGCAGGATAGGTGAAGCAAGAGCTCTAATTTTGGAATCAAGAGAGGTATCTAGTCTAGAAAATCAAAACCATATTATGTAGCCATGATTTTAGAAAAACAAGCCATTACTATTTAAATAAACAAGACAACAACAATAATTTAAAAATTTTAAAACCTAAACATAATGAATGGTATCTAAATTCTTCTATTGCTGTTGATTTGCTACTTACTAATTCATTTTGTCTTTTGCAAGAACTAATCTACCAGTTATGTGAGAGTAGGGCAAAAGCTATTATTTTTAACTGTAAGAAAAAAAACTAAAATCAAGGAAGCTTTGTTTGTTGATATCTCAAATACAAGAAACAGTTCGGTATGCTTAGAAAAATCAATATTTCGTAGGAATTGTTATAATAAATATAAATAAAAAAACTACAGCAAATAGGAAACATTTTATTTCACTTCCTTTTTTCTGTTAATTGCACAGACCACCACTATTCCTTGGTCTAGCTTCTAGTCAGCAGTGTTCTGCTGGAGCACAATTGGAAAACCACTGATCTATTCCAGATGAGAAAATCGTCTCAAGGAAAAGTGATTTGCCCAGGGTTACATACCAAGTTACTGAAGAAGCTAAGATCCAGACCTACTCAATCCCTCTTCATGGCTATTTCCACTACATCGAGTTTGCCTATCCTAGCAAAAGAGATTTCCTTGAGCTGGTATTGAACCAAAAGCTCAGTTATCTTCTTTCCTCCCTTTCTCACTCCTTCTTTAACTTTCTCCCTCTGTCCCTCTCTGGCGTTTTCCTCCCTCCATTCTTAGCTTCCTTCCTTCCTAAGGTTTCTCAGGAATGAAATCCTGTACTTTATGTGACCAATAATAATTAACTGCTTAGTCAATCAGTACATAATTTTTATGTTTTCTCTAAATTATTTTGATAACTTTCAGTTCATTTCATTTTCTTTTCTAACCTCAGAAGATTAGTGGAATAGCTAATTGTGTTCTCTGTATATCAATATCTTCTGTTCTTTGGGAGTATTTGGAGTTATCCTCCACCTTTTTTTTCATTTTTAATCTAAAATGATTTTTATAGGCTTAGGATCAGGAAATAAAAAAGACAAAAGAAATGTATGATTTTTCAGCTGGAAAAATATAATTCTTTTATTTCACGTATAAATATAAATGGAAAATATAGCACTATTCTGCATTATCAGGGATCATATGAAATAAAAATTGATTCTTCTGGTCCTTTTGCATTTATTTTCTAACATGGAACACTCACAAAGGGATTATTTCTATTATTCAAAAAGAAGGACGGTCAATGTTCTCATTTGCCGTATGATGGAACACAGAATTTGAAAGTAGTTGGGACTTTCTGAATGTTATAGACAACAGATTACAGGATCATTTGGTAATCACATTAACTTTGCAAATATTAGAATTGAGTGTCAAAGCAATTCACATGGAGAAAGAACAGCAATAGTGATCTTTATTACAGTTTCCCTTGACTATAGCCTGTAGCTAGCGTCTGTCCCATTCACTTAGGAGATGGCAAAATGCAAGACAGCCCCAGCTGTCACCTGGACATCTCAGGAACATAACCCCTTATCAGGCAGAGGGATGTAGTGTTTGTAAGAGACGGTGCACAGAGGCTGTGTTTGTGTTTGGAGGCTGGGAAAAGCCCCAACGTACTGCATCAGTAACAGGAATCTCAAACATCTGTAAATGATGCTCACAAAGCATTTCCACATACATTTCGAAAACTATTCTCACAACTGTGACATGAAGATTATTTCCTCTGTTTTATATTTGGAGAAACCAAGGCTCAAAGTGGTTCAGTGACTTTCCCCAGATCATTCAACTAGCACTGGGATTTGAACTCAGAACTGATTCCAGATAGCACCCACCAGCTTTCCTCATTGTCAAGTATTAAACTCCTGATATAGCATGGTAATATGTCTTTTGCATTTATGCGTGTGTATGTATATATGTATATATACATGTTTTTTGATTATGTAAGTAATATATATTATAGAAAATTTAGCAAACACAGAAAAGTCTGAAAAAAAGAGAAATATTTAACCTTCAAACACAGAACTGTTACTCTTTCCTCTGTATTTCTCCCTTTGTGATTTGACCGTTTGTGTCCTTTGCTTGTTTTCTTGTTTGTTTTTGTTTTGTTTTGTTTTTGTTGTTGAGACAGAATTTCACTCTTGTTGCCCATGCTTGAGTACAATGGCGCGATCTTGGCTCACTGCAACCTCTGCCTCCCAGATTCAAGCGATTCTCCTGGCTCAGCTTCCTGAGTAGCTGGGGTTACAGGCGCCTGCAACCAGGCCAGACTAATTTTATTTTGTAATTTTAGTAGAGACAGGGTTTCACCACATTGGCCAGGCTGGTCTTGAACTCCTGACCTCAGGTGATCCGCACTCCTTGGCCTCCCAAAGTGCAAGTGCTGGGATTACAGGCATGAGCCACCGCGCCCGGCCCCCTTTGCTTATTTTTTATTGGTATGATGTGTGAGTGTCACACTGATTTATGATGTTAATTTATAGATTAAGAATTTTAGCCCTTTATAATATGTAATAAAATAGTTTTCTTAGTTTTAAATTTTGCTTTTTTGTTTGTTTGTTTGTTTGTTTTGAGACAGAGTCTCACTCTGTCGCCAGGCTGGAGTGCAGGGGCGCCATCTCGGCTCACTGCAACCTCCACCTCCCAGGTTCAAGCAATTCTCCTGCCTCAGCCTCCCGAGTAGCTGGGACTACAGGCAAGCGCCACCACGCACAGCTAATTTTTGTACTTTTAGTAGAGACGGGGTTTCACCATGTTGGCCAGAATGGTCTCGATCTCTTGACCTCGTGATCCGCCCGCCTCGGCCTCTCAAAGTGCTGGGATTACAGGCATGAGCCACCGCTCCCGGCCTTAAATTTTGCTTTTAACTTAATAATAATGTTTTTTGATATATGGAAGTTAAATTTTTGATAATATGGAAGTTAAAGTTAAGTTTAAGCTTACCAATCATTTTCCTTACACTTTCTACCATGAGTATAATATTAGGAAAGCCTTCAGAAATCCTAATAAAATAACTACTCATTAACTTGATTTTTAATCAATTTCAGGAATTTTATCTTCATATTTAACTTTACAATCTGTGTAGAATTTATTTCAACATATGATATGAGGTAGAGATCAAACATAGTTGCTTTCCAAATTATTAACTGTCACAGCATCATTTAAAAAAAAACCTTTTACACTCTTAGTTGAAATGTCATTTTATTGCACACTAAAATTTTATATATCGTAAGATATGTTTCTAGACTATCCATTTGTTTCCATTTATCTGTCCACATTAGCAAATATGTGTCAGTTTTATTTTTATTTACTTTAAACTGAAAAAGATCACAATATTAAATATTGCTTAGACTTTATTAAATATTTGAGCAAAACTTCCATATACATACATATGTATGTATGTATATATATAAATTAACTTCCCAGACTGAATTCTGTCCGCATGTACACAAGTTTAGCTCATGACCCAAAACAGTGGTTTTTACAAAATCGCAGATACATTAGTGGGTTACAAATCCATTTAAAGCTTTACATGAGCTTTTTTCTTAACATACAGTTGGCCCTTGAAAAACTCAGGGGTTAGGAGCACCAAACCCCCACCACCCTGTCCCCCGCCACAGTCAAAGATTGGTAGATAACTTTTGACTCCCCGGAAGCTTAAGTACTAATAGCCTACCATTGACTGGAAATCTTAACAATAACAAACAGTTAACACATATTTTGTATGTTATATGTATAATATACTGTATTTTTACAATAAAGTAAGCTAAAGAAAACAAAATGTTATTAAGAAACCATAAGGAAGAGAGACTATATTTACGATTTATTAAGTGGAAGTGAATCATCGTAAAGCTCTGCATCCTCATGTCTTCACGTTCAGTAGGCTAAGGAGGAGGGGGAAGAGGAGAAGTTGGTCTTGTTATCTCAGAGATGACATAGGTAGACCAAAAACTGTGTATGAGTAGACCTGTGCAAACTCATGTTGTTCAAGGGTCAACTGCACTTAGATTCAGGATTCTGAGTTTAATAACTTAGGCTACTGATCACTGTTAGATATTGTTTCATCCCACTGAGAAAGCAGTAAAGATAATAGAGCAGTGGCTTTAAAACTCATGAAAGAGAAGAGGAACAAGAAAATTCAAGTAACATAGTAAAAGAAAAGAAAAAAATAAACAAGATTATATAATAGAAAACATGAACACAATGCCAGAAATAAGAATAAGATGTCAGAAATAAAACTGTTTGGTTAATATGTTTATGTCAATTTTCAGAATAAATGTTAATAGATAAAATTTTCTTATCACGATATAGAAACTCATACTGTTACGCCCAATAGATAACTACAAACTTTAATCAAGTTTATTAAATGGGTTGTTCAATTCTATATATTTTTTTTCCTTTTTTTGTCTGAGAGTCACAGAATCTGTCAGTTTCTGAAGGAGATATGTGAAATAAGATAGTCTGAGAAATGGAAAATGCAAACAGCTCTTTAAATATATCATAAATAAAACTAAATGATCAAAAATGTTTAAAATAAAATAGACTAACCAGAAATCAGGCAAATACTATACAAAAGAAAGCAGAAAATATGGTAATATCAGACAAAATAAAATCCAAAGTGAAAAACACAAATGAAAAAGAGAAGTAAGTTTTAATTGATAGGAGGAATAATTCACCATTTCTATGTACAATATGGCTTCTTAGTATGTGAAGTATAATGTGTTATATATACAAGGAAGAATTGACAAAACTACAATGATAATTGTAGATTTTTGATATGCCTCATCAAAAAATGACAAATTAAATGATCCTCAAATACAAAGTTATAGAGGAGTTGAATGATACATTCATTAAACTTGATTAAATGGAGGTATGTATAGAACTATGTGTCTGATATTCTTTTCTAGTACCCTTGGAACATTTTTTTAAATGGCTGGTTATTTAGTCACACATAAAAATCTCTACAAGTTCAATAAACATCCAAAGTAGATAACAAACATAATGCAATAAAACTATAAACTTAAAGGACAAACACACAAACCCAAAATACACAAAATACTAAAAAGTTTAAAAAACCTCTTAAAAAGAATACCAAGCCAAAATTGCAGCCTTTTTAAGTAAAAACAACATTGAGAATACTACATATCAAAACCTATGTGATGTGACCCAGTTGTAGTCACGTAAAAATTAATATCCTTAAATTTATTATTTAGAAAATAGAAAATATTAAAAATACACAACCACTTTCAATTAAAGGAGCTAAAATTAGACAAAAATTTTAAGTAGAAAGTATTGAGTTTTAGAAACAAAATTCTATGAAAATGAACAAGTAAACTCTATCAATTAAACTATCAACTGAAAATCAGGTAAGTCTGATGACAAAAGAAGAAAACACAAATATATAACATTAAACCAAGAATAGAGACATAACTCCACAGAGGAGATTAAAAAGTTATGAGACTATTGTATCAATGAATTTAGAAATATTAGATGAAAATAATAATTTTTTAAAAGTCTACATAATGATGAAAATTGTCTTAAGAGGAAGAAGAAAAAATCAGTTTTTATAGAAAAAAGAAAACATCCCCTAACCCTCACACCAGAAGTGCTAGGTAGATTCTAGTACACCTTACAGAAACCAATAATTCCTGTGTGTATGTATATATATTAAGCCTCTTACAATAACCCTTAGGTAAAAAGAATACCAAGCCAAAATTAGTCTTTTAAAGTAAAAATAACAGTGAGAATACTACATATCAAAACTTATGTGATGTCACACAATTGTAGTCATGTAAAAATTAATATCTTTAAATTTATATATATATATATACTCAGATATATGTATTCACTCTTTATTATAAAAGTAATGAATGCTTATTGGAAAATCTAAGGGTACAGAAAGTCTAGACATTAAAGTAAAAGTCCTATACTATTTAAAGATTTTGTGCTCATTCTCTGCATCTAGTATTATTTTGTCATCTCACCATCCAACAAAGCAAATCAAATGCATAAACAACTTTATAGCAATATTACTTGTAAATATGGACTTGAAACTCCTGTATAAAATAGTTTATATAAAAAATCTCATGTTGTATGAAAGAAATGATTCTTCATGAATAAATAAGGTTATCCCAGAAAACCAAGGATGCTCAAAACCAGAAAATCTATTGATGTTCCTTATTACATTAATTGAATGCAGTAGACCTACCATGTGATCATCTTGATATATGCCAAATAAGTAGTTGATATAATACTTATTTCTGACTTAAGAAAAAACAACAAAGCAAAAGTAAATTTTTAGTAATCCAGGACTAGAAGAACGCTTTTTTTATTGTCAGAGTATCAACCAGAAATTTATAGCACAAAACTTACTACTGAAATATTACAGGCATTCCTATTAAGGTCAGGAATTAAAAAGAGGAATACCTGCTATTTACTGATACAATTCAACACTTCACTGAGGTCCCAGCCTTTTAGATAATGCAAGAAATAGTAAGAAGTATTAGAAAGATCAAAACCAAAATTCATTATCTGCAAATGCAAATTCGAAACTCTAAAACAAACCTCTAAAAAATTAGAGTTCAGCAAGGGAACTGAATACAAGGAATATATACAAAAATCAACAATTTTTCCATATGTCAGTAATATCTAAATAGGTTTGGATGCATTTAGCTGTAGTTAGAGAAACTGAATTAACCAAAATTTAAACCTTGTTTCCTTAAAAGGAAATCTGGAAAAAGGCAGTTTATCTATATGTTCAGTGGCTCTGTAGTATCTTCAAAGACTTCAGCAGTTTCCATATTTCTACCCCATCATTGCAACTCATTGCCTTTTTGTCTTCATATTTGTAGCCTCATGGCTACGTTATGGCTATTCCAACCAGATATAATGCCAGCTCATCAGCATTGAAAGTAGGAAGAAAGAATGGAGATAGGCACAAAGGGGCTTTCCTTGTACCAAGCAGTAAAATTTATCAGAATTTCCCTTATTACATATTTTGTAAAGGTAGGTGGCAAGTGTAGTAGGGAAAGTGAACATGAAGGAAATTACACAATCATTTGGATTGCTATATGACTGGCTTATACCAATCATGATTCATCCTCTGGGAATGGGCACATTGCTACTTCCAAATAAAATCAGAATTCTGTTAGCAAGAGAAGTGGTCAGAGGGCTTCTTGGTAGATGACTCTCAGTATATGCCACTATACGAATTATGACGCAGGTATAAGATATATACCAAAAAATCAATAGAGATAAAATCTCATTTACTCAACTGACAATTTTTTAAAACCCATAAAATATCTAGAATAAACAATAAAGTATGCAAGACCTATATAATTATATATTTTAAATTTACTAAAAGACTATAAAACATGAAAAATATAGAGACACGTCATGTTCCCATATGAAAAGCCTCAATATGGTAAAGTGTTGATTCTCCATATAATTATCTACAAATCCATAGCAGTCCTAATCAAAGTGACATCTTTTTATTACCTTGATAATTGATCCCAAAATTTATCTGTAGAAGGAAATGAACATTTAGAAAAGTAACACTACTATGTAGACTAACTCCTCATCAGATGTTATAAACATATAGTGATAAAAACAATGTGGTATTGGCACAAGAACAGAATACAATAGCAGAACAGAGAATGCGGCACAATACAGAGTATAAAGTCCAAAGGCAGACTATGTACATATAAGGATTAGTGTGCAGTAAGTATGGTATTTCAAATCAGTCAGAAATAATTGATTATTTTCCATTGAATTTTGAAGAATTATCTCTACTTGGGAAGAAATGGTTATATTTCTTTTTCACACTGTATACATAAACAAATTGCATACAGACTAATATAAACATAGAAAAACAAAATTATGCTAGAAGTCATGGGACAATATTTTTATAGTCTTGGGTGTGAAAGGGCTTTCCTAAGATGACATAAAATCCAGATGATTGACCAGTTAATCTACAAAATAAACCCTATAGGTGAAGAAAGTTAAAGACAAATGACTGGCCCAGTGCGGTGGCTCACGCCTGTAATCCCAGCACTTTGGGGGGCCGAGGCAGGTGGATCATGAGGTCAGGAGTTCAAGACCAGCCTGGCCAAGATGGTGAAACCGCATCTCTACTAAAAAAATACAAAAAATTAGCCGGGTGTGGTGGCACACGCCTGTAATCCTAGCTACTCCAGAGGCTGAGGCAGAGAATTGCTTAAACCTGGAGGGATGGAGGTTGCAGTGAGCCGAGATCGTGCCACTGCACTCCAGCCTGGGCAACACAGCGAGACTCCGTTTCAAAAAGAAAAAAAAAAAAGACAAATGACTGACCTGAAGAAAATGTTTACAATATATATAAGAAAGGATAAATGTTATTTGCAAAGTGTTCCAGTAATTTGTTTAGAAAAATTAAATCTACATTTTAAAAAACAGGCATAGGGCATCATCAAGCAGTTGATCTAGGGCATCATCAAGCAGTTGATCGAGGGCATACAAAATGAGCAAAACATTAAAGAGACACTATTGGCCAGGCGCGGTTGCTCATACCTGTAATGCCAGCACTTTGGGAGGCCGAGGCGGGCAGATTGCTTGAGCTCAGGATTTAAGACCGGCCTAGGCAACATAGTGAAATCCCGTCTCTACTAAAAACACAAAAATTTGCAGGCGTAGTGGCACGCTCCCGTGGTCCCAGCTACTCTGGAAGCTGAGGTGGGAGGATAACCTGAGTCCAGGAGGTCAAGGCTGCAATGAGCTGTGATGGCACCACTGCACTCCAGCCTAGGCAACAGAGTGAGAGCCTGTCTCAAAAAGAAAAAAAAAAAAAAGGCACTGTATCTTTAAATACTACATCTTTCTATCATTATTATTGCATTTATATTTTGTTATGTTTATATATGTTATCATATAAGTGTGTAAATGCATAGAAGAGTGTCTAACAGGATGTTTTTACAGATCATTTTTTATAGGTTGGAGGATGGAAGGGGGTTGAAGGGGGTGAAGAAACAATAACTATAAAAAGAAGTTTTAATATTTTGGTCTATATATTTCTAACTGCTCAAAACTTTCAAAATAAGCATATATCATGTTGCTTTTGCAATTAAAAATATTTGTAAAGGAATCGTTTAGCATTTGGATTAGTCAGACTAAGGTTCAAATCCTATATATTACCACCCAATGGCAGTGTGACTTGAATATTTTTAAGTTCTCAGACACTACGTTTCTTGGTCAACAAGCAGGGTGAAACATTACTTCCTTCATAGATGTGTGAACAGACCAAATAGAATTATTATTAATATTATTATTATTATTTTGATACGGAGTCTCGCTCTGTCGCTCAGGCTGGAGTGCAGTGGCGTGATCTCGGCTCACTGCAAGCTCCGCCTCCCGGGTTCACGCCATTCTCCTGCCTCAGCCTCCCGAGTAGCTGGGACTACAGGCGCCAGCCACCACGCCCGGCTAATTTTTATTTTTATTTTTATTTTATTTTTTTTATTTTTAGTAGAGACGGTGTTTCACCGTGTTAGCCAGGATGGTGTCGATCTCCTGACCTCGTGATCCGCCCGCCTCGGCCTCCCAAAGTGCTGGGATTACAGGCATGAGCCATCGCGCCCGGCCCCAAACAGAATTATTATGAAAAACACCTGGCCCGTAGTAGGTGCTAAAGAATGTTGATTTCTTAAATAGCTATTTAGAGACAAATAAATTATAATCTTTATCATTTGCTTTGTTTATTTGGGCTTAAAGGAAGCATGGTTTGATTAAGCCGATTTGAGCAAGCATTTGTACTTGAAATTTTCATTGAAAGATGGCAGACATGGTCTATGTTTTCAGATGAATTAAATATTTAGTTATTTGATCATTCATTCGTTTATACAGTGATATAGTATTATTTACTAGATGTCAATCAGTGTCCTAAACACTTGGAGGTGTGAAGTTAAACAAGAGATACTCTTTTTTTCTGGAGGAGCCTGATAATTGCTTTAACTTTATGCTTTTAACTTAGTGAGATAAATGCAATTCTAGAACCATTCATAAAATGCTAAAGATATAGAAAAGAATCATGTTGAGAAAACACAGAATTAGAGAAGCTTTGAATTGAGCGGGACCAAGTGATCATTTTTTCAACTTCCCATTCCATGCAAAAATCCCTTCTGTAACATTCTTAGAAGACTGTCAAATACTGTCTGCTAGAATAATTATTACAGTTTATTGAATATTTACTGTTGTTTCAGGCACTGTACTAACTCCTCATAGAAACTATTTCAATTCTGTCTGTGGCTACACTACCCTTAACGTACTCGATCTTAACTGATCTTGAAAGCCAAGCAGGGTCAGGTCTGGTTAGTACTTGGATGGGAGAAATTATCTGAGTTCAAACATCACAAAAAATCTGAAAGCCAGCTACCATTATACACAATTTACAGACAGAAAGTAATATCCAGAGAGGTTAAGTAACTTGTCTGAGTTCCTACAGCTAATTAACAGGGCTAAAATTTGAATCTAGGTCAGCCTCATCTCAGAACTCAAGTTCTTAATCTGAACTAATACACTATTGTCCTCACAGCTGGAACACTTCCAATGGTAAGAAACTCAATATATCAAAAGGCAGCTGTTTTGCTTCTTACAAAGTTCTTCCCTATAGAGTGCTTGAATCTGTCTTGTAACATCGTTCCACACCCCAACAAGCATCAAATGACACCTCTGTTTAATTGGACCTACTAAGAGTACAAAGATGCTTAAGACATGGTTTCTACCCTCAAACAGTTTATAATCCTGATTTTTCTCTTTGGAGGAGCATGGAACACCTGCCCCTTCTACAGGAGAGCCCTCCAAAGATTTACAAACAGCCTACCCCCACCCTCTTCCAAATAAAAAACACTTTACCTCCAACTGAATTTCTGATATTGTGCATCAAATAGCCTCAGTTCCTTCAATTGTTGCTAAATTTCCAGAGGTTTTGCCACCTCAATTTTCTTTCTTCAGATGTGTATTTGATACTGTCCTTAAAAGACAGGGTTTTCAAACAAAACAATACAATGTCATGGTAGTACAGAGGAACTTTAGCAGATTTTCATTTGAATATTGACTTCAATTAATATTTGCAGTGATAATTCTAGCTTTTTCTAACAGTGTTATTTATTTACTTCCATTAAATGAACTTAACGTGACTCTACCACTCTGTCGACCCCAACCTCTGTGGGTTTGTTTTTTTGTTGTTGTTGTTTTTTGTTTTTGTTTGTTTGTTTTTACAAATACTCGTCTATCCAGATCTTGGTTTTTCTCCTTCACTTTGAACTTATAAAATCAATTTTTTTTCCCTAGGCTTAGCTCAGCTGAAGAGTGAAATCAAATATTAAATTCTTAAATCAAGACTTTATTACTATCCTTGTTAAACACAATCTTTTAAGAAATGTTTGGTCTATCATTTCAGACTGCCAAACTTTTTTAGTCTTGATATTGTTTTCCATTTTATTATATATCTCCCAGTTGTATGAAATCCTAAATCCTCAGAACCCAGTGTTTTTGTGATCTCTTTGAAGGATCAGGGCAAAGGAGGGAGTTTTGAACTGTGTTACTAATGACCTCTTTCCAAGATGGCATAGGTTCATTATTCAATCATTTTTTGTTATCATTGTTCAATTAGGGACGAATTCACCTAGCTAAGTTAGCATCTGATCTACTCTAAGAAACAAAAACATGCTCTTGTAATTAGAATACTTTTTTTTTCTGCATTTGTCAATTTGACCTGGTTTATTCTTAATGAACCCATGCTAGATCCAACAACCACTGCAATTTTTCCCTAAATGCTCACAAATTATTTCATTTATCTACCTACCATCTTCCTTTTTATTTCTTTTTTGGTTCTACAAAGGATTCAAGTCAAATTATACAAATAAATTTAACACAAAATATAAAAAGTAGTTAAAGAAGTCTGAGCAAAGGGAAAAATGAGTAGAAAAATAACAGTAGCAGATGTAATATGGGCACACAGAAGTGTGTGGCACAGAGTCCTACAGTTGCCTTCAGAGTCAGCCAGAACAGGTAGGACATATTACTAGTGACATGGCATGGTGTTCAGAAGATAAAAGCAAAACTAACTTTTGTTTGTTTGTTTTGTTTTTTAAAACAAGAAGCAGAGCTTTTTTCCTGTGGCAGATAAGTAAGAGGGCCATTATTTCTGTGGATTCATCCTGTGAATCCACAGGTCCTCAAAAGACTGATTGGGATAACACAAAATTTTGATTGAGAATAGTTCTAGAAGAGTCAAAGCAATGAGTCTACATGGGTGTGTTTATGACCTGACCTTATCCAGGATGACCCAGAGGATCTAGAGGAAAGAATATACTGCCATGTGTCAGGCAATCCTCTATTAATCCTGTTTTTTAAAAAAATTAATTTGGAATAGCTAGATACCCAGTGAGAACATAAAGTTCAGACAAGCTGTGTTGCCAATTAAAGGCATATCTATGTGGATAAGTTCCCTAGAGAAAGTTATGAAACTTTACTAAGACAAATATCTATCATCTATTTAATAAAGACCCATTGCTTATCAGGCAGAGAAATACAGTTTCTTGAGACAATGGCAGTAGTTCATGGCATGAACTAATAAATAATTTCCTTTTAATGAACTATTCATATAGACATATCCACTATTAAAACACATTAAAAATTATCATTTATTTTAGCCAGATGAAATCCTCTTTGGTACTAGGTGGATCTAAATAATACATTTTAAAAATAAAAACAAGGAAATAATACCACTTATAATATTTATATTTCAATAATTTTCTTTCTGTTTTCTCTACACAGCAGAAACTAGAAGATTTTCCAGAAATTTATAGATATAAAAAAATGCAAGCAGAATGTTATATCTTCTAATATTTGTCAGATTGTATTACTCTTAGGACATGATAAATACTGTTTAAAAGCTCTCACACATATATATTTTCCTCAATCTAGCATGTGCTCAAAAGAATGCTACCTGATCATTTAGCTAAATATCTTAGTTCATAGTCTAAAAATAAAGTTCCGACAGTCTGCTCTCAGGTGATGGTGAACAAATTCTGCCACAATCAGATTTGCATTGTCCTCAACAGCAGATGCTCATACCAATTCAGTCCACCTCTGGATTCATCTGCAGTTGTGATGAGCATGCTTCTCAGTTTCTCTGCCTGGGAACTTTTGCTACCACCACAGGACATGCACAGGGCAATGTGGAAATGCTAAGTATTTAAAGCCCCAGGTAGGCAACTCACAGCCAATGAGTCTATAAACAACTCCTCCTGACAATGCTGAAGCATATTCTACATGTTTCCTCAGAGGATTCCCATTAAACTGAGGCAGTTGCCCAGAGAAGTAGCATGCTCATTAGTACATCTTTGGCCTCTGTCAAATCCTTTTTTCCAGGTTTGCTTTTGGAAAAACACAAGCCAAGTCATTCTCCTTCACCATTTCTGTTGACATTTCAGTGAACTTCAATATGAATGAGCAGCTCCCAAGAAGTCCTGTCTATAGCTCAGGCAAGGATGGTGTTATGGAAAAAGCATGGAAATGAGAAAAAAAAAATCTAATCTATGACCTGTGGTCAAATCTATTGAGACTCAATCTTTGTCTCACTCAACTGCTTCCTCTGTGAACATGTTCTTCATTTGGCCTCCAAGACTGAGCTCTTGGTTCTCCTCCAATCTCACAAGCCATACTCTCTCAGTGTCCTTTGCTGGAACCTCCTCATTTTTCTAGCTCTATTTGTAGGAGAAAATCTAAGCTCAGTCCCCAGACTCCTTCTCTTGGCTATCTAAACTCTCTTCCGATGTAATTTCACCCAGTCATGTATTTTAAGTTCCATAAATATAAAATGACCCCCAAATTTACACCTCCAGCCTGAACGTCTCTCCTAAATTCCAGAACCCTTATAAGCGCTATGCAACATATCTGCTTGAATGTCTAATAGGCATCAACTGAACATATCCAGAACGGAATCCTTGATTTTCACTTCCCCAGTTTTCTCTAACAGCAAATGGCAGTTCTATTTTTTTAAAACCTCAGAGTCACATCTCACGTACGCCCAAAATAGATACACCTACTATATACTCACAAACATTTTTTTAAAAATTAAAAAAATCTCAGAATCATTCCTAATTTCTTACTGTATCATGCTCAATATTCAATTAATAATCAAATCATATCCCTTTACTTCAAAATACATTCTCAGTCTAGCTACCCTTTACTTCCTCTATTACTGATCTGAGTGAGCCAAGACACCCTTATGTCTTGACTGGTGATTTCAATAACCTTCCGATTGACTTCTCTGCTTCTACCCTTGACTACTTAAATTTAATTCTGAGTGGCCTTTTTAAGACATTAAGTCAGAGCAAGTAACTGATATGGTATGGCATCATAACTTGTACAGTATAACATCCAGTATATATTGGATTATCTTGGACTGTAGGGCCTGATATGACCTTGTCTTCACTACTCCTTAGACTGTTGCTCCTGCTATTCCCCTTCTTGCTCAGACTGCTTCAGCCTTAGTGGCCTCCTTTTTTTACTTCATTGTTTGCACCTGCTGTTCCCTTCTTTGGCATTCTCTGCAATCATCTACCTTCAGGGGCATTCTCTCTTCAACTAGGTCTCTACTCAAATATCAACTTATTGAGATGCTTTCTCTCACTACTTTATCACACTCACCTCACATGTCAATACACACACACCTGAGTGCACACATACACACACTGTACAGCTTTGTTAGCATTATCAAACATATTACAGATTTCTTTATTTGGATATTGCCTTTCTCCCTCAATAAGAATATGGGTTCTTTGAGATCAGAGACTCTGATTTATTTCCTGTTGTATGCCCAACACCCACCATAGTTTCTGGTTCAAATCAGAAACCCAACACATATATTGTGAGTGATATAATAAACCAGCCACAGGTCAGGAGATGTTAACCTACAAGATCTTTAATCTCTCTTTCATTCGAGTACAACATGATCTTAGTTGACTTTGAAAGCATAAAAGATTTGTTTAATGAGACACAAGACTTGTTTTTCACTATTTTTGTTAATCTCCCAAGGTTTCCTGTCAACTCACATTTCAATGCGCAATGGGGAATGTCTATTAGAATGTTTAGTTAAATTGATTTTATAAGGTTATATACATATCTAAAAGCACTTTTAAGCCAATATCATTTTTGTGGGTTTTCTTTCCCTAACCTGGTTACTTTTCTATGAACATTCTAATTTTCTCTGAGTACATTGTATTTCTAGTAGAATTTGGATTTAGGAGCAGAAAAAAATCAGAATTCTTGTTCTGTTCATGAACAGCCCCTTCTTCCTAAATATTTCCATCCAGCCATTTGCTACTTTTAGAAAACCAAGAGAAATAGAGGAAGGAGCAATAATACCAGTTTTGCATCTATACAATTAGCCCAAGACACAGAGTCTCATCCTTTAATCTTCTCTACCCAAACCCATATGTGCTCATTGCCTTATATGTTCTCCACCTATCTTGATTAGTTAATGTTTCATTTTTAATCTGATAAATTATTTTGGAAATTATAAAATATTTAAAGTTTATAAACACATAGGTCTTCTTTTTGATACTTGATTGAAATCTGCTGGGATTAAGACCAGATTCTAGCCTTTCACAAATCTCTTTTCAATATCAAGTACAGTTGGTACATGATTGTTTAACTTTATTCGTTAATATGTTCCTTTACCTTAGCATGGTTTTGACATGGTCCTTTCTTTTGTAAATCCTATCTTTCCCTTTTTGGGTAGTTCAGAAATGCTTTGTAATTATTTGCCAAGCAGAACTGAGATCTTAGTGATTCTTTCCCTCACCTCTCTATCACGCCCACCTCACATACAAACACACACACACCTAAATGCACAAATATAGACACACCATTCATCTCTGTTAGCACCATCAGATATACTACACGTTTCTTTACATCCCACTATTTCTAAATATCCCCATAGGTTGCACATTTAACATGCAGAAAAGAACAAAAATTAAACACATGTTAAAAATGAAGAAACTCTGAATAATAAGAATGAATTTGTTGGATATCCTGTGAAAATAATGATTGTTTCCATTTGTTGAGGACCTCAATGTGTCTCCATTACTGGTGTAATTTTGGTGCAAATAGCCACCTGTGGAGACTTCTTAGAAAGTTTTAATGATCTTTGTGTATGGATTATCAACAGGATGGAAATAGAAAGGGTAAGTGGAGGAAAGGAAAATAACAGTGACAAAAAGAAAGATTAGATTTATTCATTGATGTGTAAAGACTTATTAAGTACTTGTTTTGTGTCAGACAATGTCCTAGACAATGAGAATACAATGGTAATCAAGTCCAGACAATATCACAGAACTCTGGAGGTCAGCGTCTAATAAGGTACAGTGGAAAGAGGCTGGAGTTAGAGAAATGATTCCCTATGAAAATTGTTAAATTGCAGCTGTGATACACGTGAAGGATGGTAGGGCCACTACAGTGGTTCAGACTGTGCCTCACCTAAAACACCAGACCAACGTGTAAATGATGCCTGAACACCAGTCAGAGCTCTCCCTGCTGAGTTTCTTGCAGGAAACATTAGAAGAAGGGACACCTTTTTGAAATTCCCACAAAGGTGGGTTAGCAGGGACCTTGAAGGGAATGTTCATGGGAGCTTGTAATAGAGAGATCAAGGAAGGTTTCTTTGAGAAAAAAACAACCAAGGACAAGAGATCTGAAAAAAGTTTTTAAAAAAATTAACTGGGGGATGAAGGCAGTAGTGGTTGGAGAGGGCAGTGAGAAGGAACTCAAGGAATGGTTTGTGCAAAGAACTTGTGCAAGGTGTCCTGGAGAAGCTGAAGAAAGGATGCTGGACTCAAGTGAGAAATGGAGAACGAGAAAGCCAAGAGCTATTTAGGGGCCAACCATATAAACTGGAGTGTGTAGGCTGTATTAAGGATTGAGCTTTCATGCGGGGTAAGTGGCTGATGTTGTATTGTGGAGTTCCAAGGGCAATACAGATGAGTTAGGAGGCTACTGCAGTGATGGGTAAGAGATGGTGACAGCATCATCTATGGCCATGGCAATATCTATACAAATGATTAATAAAAATACATTAAAAGAGTGACAAACATACTTATTGGAAGCATTGTGAAGGAAAAACTGTATATAGTGTGTGAAAAGTAGAATTAAGAACCTTTAGGACCCAAGGCATGATTTTCTGCCTTCGTAAACAGAGCAACACAATTACAATTTGCTTTGTTCTTGATAATGAAGGTTCTCAGTCAAGATGAATTATATTGATTTTTTATGAGAAGAATCTGGGGTGATGAATTGACTCTACCCTAGTCTTAGCTGTGCCTTGAATTCGTTCCTTAAAATTGTTGACATCAGACTTATTTCTTATCCTTTATTTGCATAAACTGAACTGCTATATGAACTACTCAACACAACGTAGCTACTGTAATGGAAAACTAATGATCTAATTACTTTAGCAATCTAATGTTGTTGAATAGTTGGCTGTTGCCAAACTCTAGTTACTTTCTTGTGATAAATTCTGGAGTGATAATTTCTGGGTTATAGGATATACATGTATCTAAGGCTTATGACAGACATTGCCAACTTCTCCAGAAAGTTTTGATATTTTGCTCTCTCACTAACAGTGTGAGAATGTTTATTTCTCCATACTTGCACCAACATTGAATGTTTTTATTAAGAAATTAAGCTTTGCCAATCTTGTAGATAAAATAGAACTTTATTATTTTGATTTTTCTTTTTCTTTTACAATATATAAATTTTTTCAAAACTAAATACATGTTAAAAATGAGGAAACTGAATAATAAGAATGCATTTGTTGGATATCCTGTGAGAAAAATGATTGTTTACATTTTTTTGGAATGGAAGAATTTAGACATGTATTTTTTCATCTAAAACAGAATAATTTAGACATGTAGTTTTTCACCAAAATTTCTATTGAGGTTCATGTTTTTTACTTATTGATTTTTCAAGGATTGAATATTCAATTATAAAGGAATCATAGGGAAACAGTAAACTTCTTCTAACCTTTTAAACAAGACTTAAAATATTCTGCCATTTCAGCATGTTTTATTGTTTCGCTCACTTTTAAGGTAGATTTTTTTTTGTTCTAAAAATTCAGAAAATGATTAGCAAAGAAAATTAAAATCAGGTTGAATTTTTGCAACTTTAAGCATTAGTAAAACTCAGACTTTGGTTATTCATTCATTCTCCGATCTATTATGCTGCTACATATTTGAGGGTGTACATTTTAGAATGTGACTTGTATAGGAAATTTATAATTAAACCTGTAATAATGATCTAGAAGTTAGTGGTGTGCTGGTAAATGTTTAACAACTCATTCTCATTGTAGAATTTACTGCTTTCTGTGTTATAAAGACTCCCATCCTGGCTGATTTCAGGCTACCAGTGTGAAGTTGCATAGTGAACTCTTGAAAACTGGTACTGAAGCAATGCAGGATTCTAAAATGTCATCTGAGTCATCAGACAGGTTAAATTCTGTAGCACAGAGTTTTGTTGTTAAATGTATTTCAAATTTTTAAAATATCAAATATATGGAGAATGTTTGATTAATCTGAAAATCCCATTCACCGAATTAGTCAGCCAAATAAAAAACTTTTTAGTGTATTTTTTTTCTGTATTTTTTTATTATGACTTTTATTTTAGGTTCGGGGTACATATGCAGGTTATATGGGTAAACTGTGTGTCACGGGGGTTTGATGTACAGATTATTTTATTACCCAGGTAATAAGCATAGTACTCAATAGGTATTTTTTCTTATCTTCTTTCTCCTCCCACCATCCACCGTCAAGTAGGCCCCAGTGCCTGTTGTTTTCCTCTTTGTGTCTATGTGTTCTTACTGTTTAGCTACCACTTATAAGTGAGAATGTGTGGTATTTGGTTTTCTGTTCCTATGTTAGTTTGCTTAGGATAATGTCCTCTAGCTCCATCTATGTTGCTTCAAAGGACATGATCTCATCCTTTTTTATGGCTACATAATATTCCATTGTATGTATGTACCACATTTTAAAAAATCTCATCTACTGTTGATGGACATTTAGGTTGATTAGTGTCTTTGCTATTGTGAATACAGCTGCAATGAACATATATGTGCATATGTCTTTATGGTAGAGCAATTTATATTCTTTTGGGTATATACCCAATAATGGGATTGCTGGGTGGAATGGTAATTCTGTTTCAAGTTCTTTGAGGAAGTGAACACTGTTTTCCACAATGGCTGAGCTAATTTACAGTCCCACCGGCAGTGTATAAATGCTACCTTTTCTCCACAGTCTCTCTAGGATCTGTTACTTTTTGAATTTTTATTTTATTTTATTTTATTTTTTGAGATGGAGTCTTATTCTGTTGCCCAGGCTGGAGTGCAGCAGCAGGATCTCAACTCACTGCAACTTCCACCACCCAGGTTCAAGCAATCCTCCTGCCTCAGCCTCCCAAGTAGCTGGGACTACAGACACCCGCCACCACACCCTGCTAATTTTTGTATTTTTAGTAGAGATGGGGTTTTACCATGTTGGCCAGGCTGGTCTCAAACTCCTGACCTCAGGTGATCTGCCTGCCTCGGCCTCCCAAAGTGCTGGGATTAAAGCTGTGAGCCACCACTCCAGGCCTTGACTTCTTAATAATAGCCAATCTGACTGGTGTGAGATACTATCTCAATGTGGTTTTGACTTGCATTTCTCTAATGATTAGCGATGTTGAACACTTTTTCATATGCCTGTTAGCTGCATACGTGTCTTTTGAAAAGTGCCTGTTCAGGCCAGGTACAGTGGCTCACACCTGTAATCCCAGCATTTTGGGAGGCTGAGGTGAGTGGATCACCTGAGGTCAGGAGTTTAAGACCAGCCTGGCCAACATGGTGAAACCTCATCTCAGAAAGAAAGAGAGAAAGAGAGAGGGAGGGAGGGATGGAAGGAGGGAAGGAAGGAAAGAAAGAAAGGAAAGAAAGGAAAGAGAGAGAGAAAGAAAGAGGGAAAAGAAGGGAAAGAAAGGAAAGAAGGAAAAAGAAATGTACCTGTTTATGTCCTTTGCCCACTTTTTAATGGGGTTGTTTGGTTTTGCTTGTAAATTTGTCTAAGTTCCTTACAGATTCTGGATATTAGATCTTTGTTGGATGCAGAGTTTGCAAATATTTTCTCCCATTCCATAGATTGTCTGTTTACTCTGTTGATAGTTTCTTTTGCTGTGCAGAAGCTCTTTAGTTTAATTAGGTCTCATTTGTCAATTTCTATTTTGGAGTTGCTTTTGGCGACTTTGTCGTAAAACCTTTGCCAGGTCCTATGTCCAGAATGATATTTCCTAGGTTATCTTCCAGGGTTTTTATAGTTTTAGACTTTACACTTCAGTCTTTAATCTATCTTGAGTTGATTTTTGTATATGGCATAAGGAAGGGGTTCAGTTTCAATCTTCTGCTATGGCTAGCCAATTATTCCAGCACCATTTATTGAACAGCATAAGGAAGGGGGTTCAGTTTCAGTCTTCTGCATATGGCTAGCCAATTATTCCAGCACCATTTATTGATCAGGGAGTCCTTTCTTCATTGCTTATTTTTGTCAGCTTTGTCAAAGATCAGATGGCTGTAGGAGTGCAGCATTATTTTTGGGCGATCTATTCTGTTCCGTTGGTCTTTGTGCCTGTTTTTGTACCAGTACCATGCTGTTTTGGTTACTGTCGCCTTACAGTATAGTTTGAAGTTGGGTAATGTGATGCCTCCAGTTTTGTTCTTTTTGCTTAGGATTGCCTTGGATATTTAAGCTCTTTTTTGGTTCCATATGAATTTTAGAATAGTTTTTTCTAATTCTGTGAAGAATGTCATTGTTAGTTTGATAAGAATAGCATTAAATCTGTAAATTGCTTTGGGCAGTATGAGCATCTTAATGATATTGATTATTCAGAAGTCACCAAAATCAGAGCTGAACTGAAAGAAATTGAGACACACACACAAAAAAACCATACAAAAGATGAATGAGTCCAGGAATTGTTCTTTTAAAAAATTAATATATAGATATACCAGTAGCTAAACTAATAAAGAAAAAAAGAGAGAAGATCCAAATAAACACAATTAGAAATGACAAAAGGGACATTACCACTGACCCCACAGAAATACAAAACACCGTCAAAGACTACTATGAATACAAACTAGAAAATCTAGAAGAAATGGATAAATATTTAGACACATATGACTTCCCAAGACTGAACCAGGAAAAAAATGAATTCCTGAACAGGCCAATAACAAGCTCTGAAATTGAATCGATCAGTAACAAAAAGCCTACCAATAAAAAAGAAAGCCCAGACCCAGACAGATTCACAGCTGAATTCTACCAGATGTATAAAGAAGATCTGATAACATTTCTACTGAAACTATTCCACCAAATTGAGGAGGGACTCCTCCTCAACTCATTATCTGAGGCCAGTATCATTCTGATACCAAAACCTGGTAGAGACACAACAAAAAAAGAAAACTTCAGGCCAATATCCTTGATAAACATTGATGCAAAAATCCTCAACAAAATACTAGCAAACAAAATCCAGCAGCACATCAAAAAGCTAATCCACTACGATCAAGTAGGCTTTATCCCTGTGATGCAAGGTTGGTTCAACATACAGAAATCAATAAATATGATTCATCACACAAACAAAACTAAAAACAAAAACCACATGATTATCTCAATATATGCAGAAAAGGCTTTTAATAAAATTCAACACTCCTTCATGTTAAAAACCCTCAACAAACTTGGCATTATTGGAACATACTTCAAAATAATAACAACTATCTGTGACAAACCCACAGCCAATATTATACTGAATGGGTAAAAGCTGGAAGCATTACCCTTGAAAATCAGAGCAAGAGAAGTATGCCGTCTATCACCATTCCTATTCAATGTAGTGCTGGAAGTCCTGGTCAGAGCAATCAGGCAAGAGGGGAATAAAAAGGCATCCAAATAAGAAGAAAGAAAGTCAAAGTATCCCTGTTTGCAGATGACATGTTTCTATATCTAGAAAACCCCACAGTCTCTGCCCCAAAACTCCTTGATCTGATAAACAGCTTCAGCAAAGTTGTACAAAAATCAGTAGCATTCCTATACACCAGCGACATCCAAGTTGAGATCCAAATGCGGAATGCAATCTCATTCACAATGGCCACAAAAAGAATAAAATACCTAGGAATACAGGTAACCAGGGAGGTCAAAGATCTCTATAATGAGAATTAAAAACACTGCTCAAGTAAATCAGAAATGACACAAATAAAAGCCAAATAAAATTTACTTGTAATTTTTTCCATTTAAACCAACACATCATAGGAAATTCTAGGAGTCTTTGGGTAAGAAATAATGAAAAATTTTAATTTGAAGTTATTTTCTTTTTTTCTTTTTAGTTTAAATACTTTTATTTTATTTTATTATTATTATACTCTAAGTTTTAGGGTACATGTGCACAATGTGCAGGTTAGTTACATATGTATACATGTGCCATCGAAGTTATTTTCTAACATACCAAATAAGATTCGTGGGGACGTTGGTGGAGGGAGGGTAATTATAAAAATTTGGGTTAATTCATCTAGAAATGAAGAGGTTAAGGATTGCATTAATACTGATATTCAAATGCCTGAGTGGTAATGGTTAACCAAAACCAAACCATCACTACCACCAACACACACACACACACACACACACACACACACACACACACTTTATTTCTGTAGAGTTAAGAACAAAATAAAATAAATACACACTAAAAGGGGAGGGATTTATCTTGAATTGAATAAAGACCTGCTTGGTTGCAAAGATGATAAAGAATGAGTTAGTTTTGTAGTCTTCTTTTGTTGTGATATATCTTTTGACATAATAGAATGCTGTCTGCCTGGGATCATTTTGGTGTGATTTGTAATATATCTGATGAATTTCATACATTGGATACACTAGTTTTGCTTTTCGGTACAGAGGGGGAGAATGTATAAAGCACAAACGACTTAAAATATCTAGCAACATGTAGCTCTTGAAATCCAAGCATTTGTAATGACACTGAACATATGAATATTGCCTTTGTAGCAGGGAGAACTCAGTGATTCAGGGAGGAAAACCTCAAGTTGGGGGTAGAGTGACTGGAAAATGCATTCAGTTGCTTTAAAAGATCATCTTAACTCTGGCTCAAGATTCACATTTCCCACTTGTGTCTTGTCTTCAAAAATAAAAAAGAGGAAACCACCAATGAGAACATGTGGCATTATAAATCATTCTGACTATTGTTAGAAAAATGAGTAAGGGTTCTAAACAGCTTCAAAGGGCCCTGACCAGCTCTTTTCACTCACCTTGAGAAGAACCATAAAAGTTAGAAAACAAAAGGAATTTTTTTTCTTTTTGGACACCGGTCATCAGCAGTGTTCTCTTCGGGCTGCTGGCATCTGGGCCCAGTTGCTGGGTTACAGGCAAATATAATCAAAACAAACACTAAAAGGTACTCTTTTGGCTTTTAACATGTTGGAAAGGTCTTCTGCCTTCCATCCTTTGTGCTAGCCAATTCTCAATGCGGAAGTGTCTTTCCCACTTGTCCTTCCCTTTTCTTCTTGCAGGACAACTTCTGATTATAAATTTGTTGTGGAGCAGAAGAAGCCCTTAATGAGGCCATTAGACCTTTAGAGCTTTTCTCCAACTTCCTGCTGAACGGCACCAGGAATTTAACCTGTTTCCAGTCACTCTCTCTTAGTAGAATTTACCACCCTATCCCCTCCTCTGAGAATTGGTGAGTGTGGCGCTTCTACAGTAGCATTAACCCTTTGCTCCCCACTTTTTCTAGTTACCAAGGACAGATTGCCAAGGAAACAAATGGTATTTTCCATTCAGGACTGTGGTGCCAGATTCAGTGATGGGCTTCCTGCTTCTCAGCACTTGTGATGTGTTATACTATATTTGAACTTGGACAGGAAAGCTCCAGGCATGCAAGCATGTTTAGAAGTTTGGCAAATAAGATCTATGGCAAAAGTCAACCCATTAGCCAGTTTGTCTAGAGTATTTTATTAAGGTCCATGGGGTGCCAGGCACTTTAATGGAGTCAGGGCATTTCAGCATGCTCTGCAGAAGTTAAAGGCACCAGGATGATTTGTCCTGGAGAAGAGAAGAGTGAGAAGAAGCTGTTATAAATCTTCCAGGATTGAGAAAAGTTTATTTATTTATTCAGAGGGTAGTAACCAATTGTACTCCAACTCTGCTAAAGCTAGAACATGATGAAATACACTTGAAACATAGACATTCTACATACATTTAAGGAAGAAATTCCCAACAGTGCAAAAGGCTAAGTATCTTGATGAGTTCCCTAGAAAGATGGTCACATATCGTTTCTGAAAACCTAGACTGATAAGGCTTGCCTCTTATCTACCTGAAATGGTTTGGTTGTTTGTGTGTGGTTGTATGTATGTGTTTTTCTGAAGACAAGAGCTGGACTGACTTCTAATATGGTAAAATTCTAACCATGACTGATCTTTTAAAAGCAAATATTCACTATATTTCTGGAAAGGTCAGAGGTAAGTCTTTTTATCCTGGTGTTTTGCAAAACCCGAACCAAAGAAGACAAGATATCTTTTCCAGGGTCACCCGAAATATGAATGTTAGAACCAAACATACATTTTTAAAGTATATATTGTGTTTAAAAGTTTGGAATCTCCAGAATGAATTTTACCCTCATGAACTAAATAAAATCACTATATTTTTCCAAGGCTGGCTTATAGTGTGTGTGTTTTTTTTTTTCCTTTATTCTCTTTCACCATCACAGCTACTATTCATTGAACTTCTGCTATGTCAGGGATTGGACTCAGAGCCTTATATGCATTTTTATCTCTTAATCCTTACACCTATTATATGAGGTAGGTATTGTTATTTTTATTTAACAGGTGATGAAACTGATCTCAGATAAATTCTGCTGTGACTTGCCCAGTTGCAGTTACCAAACTAGTATGTGGTGGAACCAGAATAAAAATCCTGATATCTCTAAATCCAAAGTTCTCCTTCCACTGCACTAGTCTGCAAGGGAGAATCTGACTCAATTGTGTTACATCACAAAGATTAAACTCTTGTTAATACAAAAAATAATTTATACATACTAGCCTTTCTGAATTGCTAAAACATACATGATTTATGCTCATTAACACCCTTAAAATTGTTGAAAACCCTTTTCTGCCTAAGAAAATACAAAACAATCTTCAAAGCAGAAAACATTTTAATTCCCTTACTATCCTCTTTCTGCAATGATTTTCCTGAGTGATTATAAAGCCATAAGATTGAATTTATTTGAGCTATATTTCATAATATAACTAGCATCAAATTATGGAAACCTTCTCTAATGGCCTAGATCTTCTATTCCACAGTTTAATACTATTTTACCATCTGACTAAGGCGTGCCTTTTACTCCTGGCTGCTGGAATATTCTAAATTCCTTTTAGAAATGACTCTTCTACTTGGACCTCCTCAGCCAGAGATTTCCTCTCTCTTCTCATGATCAGATCAAATTTACAGGCTCACTACTTAATAAGACAGGCTGCTGTCTAGAACAGGCACTGGCAAAATGCATCAGACCAAAATGTAATTTTGCTTTTTTTTTCCCCTAGCCACCAAACCACCAGGGACCAAATGTGATTTTGAACAAGAGTCTTAAACTCTTTGGGTCCAGGCTTTTCATCTGCAAAATGGAGGTAATGACCCTGATATCTCCCAGGTGTTGTTAAGAGAGGTAAGTGAAACGGTCAACAAGAAAACTTGGTTAAATGTATAATAGGTGTTGTTTGCATTTGCCATGTGAATGGGGTTATACCTTGGTTCACTCTAGATCCAGAAATGTGTAATAATTAACCAATTCATCACGTGGTTCAATTGACCTTCACATTCTGCTTTCTTCTGTAAAAGATAGAAACACTTTGATGGAAAAACGGAATGCCTTTTTCTTTGTGCTTTAAATTATCTCTGATCTGGACCTCTACCAAAACAGAACTCATTATTTTCTCTATAAAATCTGTTCCTCTTCCCATATTTCCTATCACCATTGATGATGCCACAATACACCCAGTTTCAATCCCAGTCTCCCAAGCGGAAATGCTAGGAGTATTCTCTTTCTCTCTCTTCTCCCTCCTCTGCCTTACCACTTCCTTCCCTTCCCTCCCCAATTCAACTAGGCTCAAATTCAGCTGATCCCATCAGAGATATGTCTATTGGATCTATCCTTCACTTAGCCCAGATTATCTCTTACTGGGACTAGTGAATCCTTTTCTGCCAGGATAGATGGAAACATGACTTCCATCCAAAGCCACGGCCTACAAAATTGTGTCTAAGGAAAAGTATGTCAACAACAGTCTACCAATTTAACCTCTTTTTCTAGTTGATGTGGCTTTTGTTTCAAATTCCTACATTAGGAATTAAATTGGATAATATGCCAGCTAAAAATATTTTGTTGGCCTACAAAGGTTTTGTGTTGGTCTTGTTGGGGTATGGTAGGTTGGCAGAAGGTGAGGACAAGACCCACGCCTGTCTTATCTTACTGGCTATATGGGAAACAATTTATAGGACCAAGAGGCCTTCCATGGAAGAAAGTGAGGCCAAGGGAGAAGATCTCTCTAAATATTTTCCCACATGGGATCAAAGATGTTTCCCCCTTGGCTTCTTCCTCAGAAAGCGCCAGCTCCTAGTACCGTGGCCCAGCTCCGGGTTCTTGGTCTCAATCCATCGCTAGAGCTTGGTCTACTACTCAGGAGTAGAGTTGGGAAGAGAAAAGGAAGACTTGGGTTTTTCCCAGAGTAGTACTGTCACATTAGGTGTCATGAAATCATTTTTGTGGGCTGTGACCAGCACTTAAGAAAAAAAAAAAGTAATGTTATAGAGTGGAAAGAAATAGGAAACAACAGAATAGAAAGTATTGGAGTAGATGCCATAAGTTAAGGGTATAGGCTTTTAATGAAGCCTTTATGTTAGTCACATGTGAGGGTAATATGGGTTTGTGTGTGTGTATGAGTGTATTGGGTCACAATATGAAAGATATCATTACTCTGGGTCAAGGTCTAAACAGTTTGGACACTGTTAGTTTAGAATATATAAACAACATTCTTTCTGCTTGTAGTTTTCCCTCTTTGATCCATCCTCCACACCTCAAATGGTCACTTGGATAGTATTTCTATAAACCAATGGGATTGGGCCATGTGCGGTGGTTCATGCTTATAATCTCAGCAGTTTGGGAGGTCGAGGCAGGAGTGTTGCTTGAAGGCAGGACATTGAGACCATCCTGGGCAACATAGCAAGACCCACCCCCCCATCTCTACAAATAATTTAAAAATTAGCTGGGCATGGTGGTGTATACCTATAGTCCCAGCTACTTGGGAGGCAGAGGTGGGAGGATTGCTTGAGCCAGGAATTCAAGACTGCAGTGAGCTGTGGTTGCATCATTGTACTCCAGTCTGAGTGACAAAATGAGACCCTGTCTCTAAAGCAAAGCAAAACAAAACAAAGCAAACCAATGATCACCCTGTGTGAAGAGCTCCACTACTCATAGGACCAATTCATGAGCATGACATTCAATATCTTCAATAATCTGATTCCAACCACTTTTCCAGTTTCATTTACCCTGCATCCTTCCTACTCATCTACTCTATCTTTTCTGAAAGTGCCTTTCAAATTTGTCTTTTTGTCTCTACTCATACTGTTCTTTAGGCTAAAATGACAGTTTCCATTCTTCACTTGTCTAAATCCAACTCATTATAAATGATGTTAAAATTTAAAATAATATTACTTAACATAACATTAAGATAACATTATTTTTCTGACTATAAATTTTGGATATTACAGAGATTATTAAATATAAAATAAAATCACATAATCCCACAATCCAGAAATAGTATGATATCTTTAGATGTATTTTCTGATCTTTGCTTCAAAGTACATATACATACTTTGTATATATACATGCATATATATATATTTATTTAGAACCCTTTTTTATTGAGTACATTATGAAAATTTTATAATGTCATTACATATTCTTCTAAAATATATATAATGGATGTATTATATTTTATTATATTAATATTATATTTTATCTTTGTAAGTAATGACTTGACCTATGTCTTTATTACTTCCCCTGATTTTTTCTTTCCCTTAGAATAAATTATTAGATTTGAATTTACTGAGTAAAGTTATATTAACATTTTTAAGGGCCTTGATATGTATATTGCGTGATCTCTCATAAGAACTATAAAAAAAATCCCCGTGTTTGCCAATGTTATACAAAAAAAGTTCACATTACTTTAATTTGCATTTTCTGAGTATTAACAACGTTAATCTTTCTTTCTAATGTTTATCGGTTATTTATATGGCATTTTGAGGAAATTACTTTTTCATGGCTTTTGTCTATTTTTTTTTTTTTAATTAGGGAAGATTTTTTTCCCATGTTTCTTTTTTTTCTCCTCATTATGAATCCTGCTTATTCCTCAAATCTCAATTAAAAACATATTTTTCATGGAACTTTCTTCTAGTGTTTTAGTTTGAATCTTTGTTTTTTCATAACACATTATTTGTACCTCTATTTAGAGATCAATTTAGTCTGCCATATTGATTGCTATCTTCCCCATTTAGTCACAAGATATTTGAGGGTAGAAAACTTTTTCTATTTGTTTTTGTATAACTCTCCAGTAAAAGCCACAAATCAAGTATTCAGTATGTTTTTCCTGTATGCTTTTAGAATATTCCATCTGAGGCTGCACTCATGTATATTTTGGAAGATTTACTGAGCACCGAATGCATTCTTCTTGGGGTGCCGGGGAGGAGAGACCGATGCCCTTTCTGAAATCTACTTGGTTATGTTTCCTACCTCCATTTAAAATAATTTCTCCAGCATTACAGGCTTTGCACTCTGGCTGATGTGAAGTTTTTTTTAATCCCTCTTTCTCTCAACACCATGGTGTTCTGTTCTGCCTTCATACATTTACAAGACATGTGAGATCATTTAAATGATTTTACAATTTGTCAGTAGTTAAAATCATAAAATGCAATTGCTGGATAAAACCTTGGAGATCATCCCATTCCAAACCTTAGTTCCTCTACTAGTTTCTCCTTCCAAGACTTCCTTCACCTGAGCTGGCATTGGCTTCTCACAAAGTCTAAAACTCAGGCGAAACATCAGGAGGCAATTCTCCCTTTCCACTCTTTTTTAAAAATTATTATTATTCGTGTATGTGTGCATCCTTTTTTAAAATTATTATTATGCTTTAAGTTCTAGGGTTCATGTGCACAACGTGCAGGTTTGTTACATATTATACATGTGCCATGGTGGCTTGCTGTACCCATTAACTCGTCATTTACATTAGGTATTTCTCCTAATGCTATCCCTCCCCCTGCCCCTGACCCCACGACAGGCCCCGGTGTGTGATGTTCCCTGCCCTGTGTCCAAGTGTTCTCATTGTTCAGTTCCCACCTATCAGTGAGAACATGCAACGTATGGTTTTCTTTCCTTGTGATAGTTTGCGGAGAATGATGGTTTCCAGCCGCATCCATGTCCCTGCAAAGGACATGGACTCATCCTTTTTTATGGCTACATAGTATTCCATGGTATATGTGCCACATTTTCTTAATCCAGTCTATCATTGATGAACATTTTGATTGGTTCCAAGACTTTGCTATTGTGAATAGTGCCACAGTAAACATATGTGTGCATGTGTCTTTATAGTAGCATGATTTATAATCCTTTGGGTATATACCCAGTAATGGGATGGCTGGGTCAAATGGTATTTCTGGTATCTCTAGATCCTTGAGAATCGCCACACTGACTTCCACAATGATTGAACTAGTTTACACTCCCATCAACAGTGTAAAAGCGTTCGTATTTCTCCACATCCTCTCCAGCACCTGTTGTTTCCTGACTTTTTAATGATCACCATTCTAACTGGCATGAGATGGTATCTCATTGTGGTTTTGATTTGTATTTCTCTGATGACCAGTGATGATAAGCATTTCTTCATGTGTCTGTTGGCTGCCTAAATGTCTTCTTTTGAGAAGTGTCTGTTCATATCCTTTGCCCACTTTTTGATGGGGTTGTTTTTTTCTTGAAAATTTGTTTAAGTTCTTTGTAGATTCTGAATCGTAGCCCTTTGTCAGATGGGTAGATTGCAAAAATTTTCTCCCATTCTGTAGGTTGGCTGTTCACTCTGATGGTAGTTTCTTTTGCTGTGCAGAAGCTCTTTAGTTTAATTAGATCCCATTTATCTATTTTGGCTTTGTTGCCATTGTTTTTGGTGTTTTAGTCATGAAGTCCTTGCCCATGCCTATGTCCTGAATGGTATTGCCTAGGTTTTCTTCTAGGGTTTTTATGGTTTTAGGTCTAAACATTTAAGTCTTTAATCCATCTTGAATTAATTTTTGTGTAAGGTGTAAGGAAGGGATCCAGTTTCAGCTTTCTTCATATGGCTAGCCAGTTTTCCCAGCACCATTTATTAAATAGGGAATCCTCTCCCCATTTCTTCTTTTTGTCAGGTTTGTCAAAGATCAGATGGTTGTAGATGTGTGGTGTTATTTCTGAGGCCTCTGTTCCATTCCATTTGTCTATATCTCTGTTTTGGTACCAGTACCATGCTGTTTTGGTATCAGTACCATGCTGTTTTGGTAACCGTAGCCTTGTAACATAGTTTGAAGTCAGGTAGCATGATGCCTCCAGCTTTGTTCTTTTGGCTTAGGATTGTCTTGGCGATGCAAGCTCTTTTTTGGTTCCATGTGAACTTTAAAGTAGTTTCTTCCAATATTGTGAAGAAAGTCATTGGTAGCTTGATGGGGATGGCATTGAATCTATAAATTACCTTGGGCAGTATGGCCATTTTCACGATATTGATTCTTTCTATCCGTGAGCATGGAATGTTTTTCCATTTGTTTGTGTCCTCTTTTATTTTGTTGAGCAGTGGTTTGTAGTTCTCCCTGAAGAGGTCCTTCACATCCCTTGTAAGTTGGATTCCTAGGTATTTTATTCTCTTTGTAGCAATTGTGAATGGAGTTCACTCATGATTTAGCTCTCTGTTTGTCTGTTATTGGTGTATAGGAAGCTTGTGATTTTTGCACATTGATTTTGTATCCTGAGACTTTGCTGAAGTTGCTTATCAGCTTCAGGAGATTTTGGGCTGAGGTGATGGGGTTTTCTAAATATACAATCATGTCATCTGCAAACAGGGACAATTTGACTTCCTCTTTTCCTAATCGAATACCCTTTATTTCTTTCTCTTGCCTGATTGCCCTGGCCAGAACTTCCAACACTATGTTGAATAGGAGTGGTGAGAGAGGACATCCCTGTCTTGTGCCAGTTTTCAAAGAGAATGCTGTCAGTTTTTGCCCATTCAGTATGATAATGACTGTGGGTTTGTGATAAATAGCTCTTATTATTTTGAGATACATTCCATCAATACCCAGTTTATTTAGAGTTTTTAGCATGAAGGGCTATTGAAAAGCTTATCTACCACAATCAAGTCGGCTTCATCCCTGGGATGCAAGGCTGGTTCAACATACACAAATGAATAAACAGAATCCATCACATAAACACAATCAACAACAAAAACCACATAATTATGTCAATAGATGCAGAAAAAGCCTTCGACAAAACTCCCTTTTCACTGTTTATCCTGAGGAACCATTCCTTTAAGTACCGTCTCTGGAGAAAAGCATGAGTTTGACTCACCAGTAAACCAGGGCAAGAAGCAGGTGCCATTCCAGAAGTCACCCAGATGAACATTTCTGCCTGCCTTCTTGGTGAGGTTCTCCAGGAGTGGCATAACTACCAGACATAAGGATTTTCAGTCTGCTTCTGGAAATTTCAGTTGCTCTCATACTTTTATCAGGTTTCTTATTGATTAAGTCTCTTCTATGCTACTTGTGCTAGGAACTTTGCAGATATTATATCATTATTTCTTCCAGTTGTTCCCATTTTACATTTAAAGAATTGAGGCTTTCAGTATTTAAACCCTCAAAGTCACACAGCTGGTTAAGTAGGGTAGTGAGACCTCGAGCTCAGGTTTGCCTTATCCAGAGCTCCTGTTATTTTCACTATACCAGGTTTCAAGACATAAAAAGGTGATTTGGATTACTGAAACCATATGTGCATCCCTGAGAGGCTTCCACCCTCTTGGCAATGCAACCATTGAATTTTAGGTGTGAGAGGGAGAGGAGTTGTTTTAAGGAACATTTATTTTGAAAGATAATTATGAGTGTTCAGAATAATGAGTGAATTAGGTGCTTATAGGTATGGTATGAGAAATTAAAAACATAATAGGTGAACTAAAATACTTACCAAATGAAAGATAATTCTATGCTTATTTTAACTAAGAATATGTTTGATTTAATGAGGAAGTGAGATTTGGGACCCACAATGCTAGAAGTTTTGGGGGCAGAGTAGTTATAACCACAGACATTGGAGTCAATCAGAACTGGATTTAGATCCTAGTTTAGCCATGAATACTTCATCTGTCTAACTAAGTTTACTCATCTGTAAAAAGGGGTAATAATTCATATGTCTTGGTCACTCAATGAGATAATTGATTCATTCGTCTATGTATTCCTTTGACAAAGATATTTTTGAATATTTACAATTTGCAGGATTCTGAAGATGTTACCATGAATGAGATACATACGTGATTCCTGCCCAAAGAAAACTGATAGTCTTATGGTTAAATGTAAAGTGTTTTCTTTCCATGGTGTCAGACACATGCTAAGCAGTAATTCATGACAGATGTTATTATAATATTATTATCATTATTATTATGAGTGTGTGTTTCTACAACTGCTCGTAATTTTGACATATCTTACATTTGATAATAGGTGTGAGACCTAGTTAACATTTTCCTGTATTGGCATCTCTAATTAAAGGATAGCATCATAAGGTAACAAGCAATTATTGTTAACAAAGGAAGTACTGTATAATCAGAACCTTGCCTCAAGAACGTAGGGTTTCTTCTCTCCTCCTTATTTGACTGCTCTTCCATCTTTAGCCACATGAAACACTCAGAACAGTGTCTGGCATGATGAATAACTATTAGTTGAAAAAAAGAATGTATGACTGAATGAGGGTTGCACAAACTCTAAACACAATATCTGGCTGTTGCCTGAAAAGAGATGTTATCTAGTTATAAGTTGTACCATGATTGTCTCCATAAAATAAAAACTTAAGACTTTTTTGTAAACTCAAGCATCTTAACTTGGGGAAAAATCCAAGGTGGCAGACTCTAATCAAGAAAGTTATTTTTAATGTCACTACACTACAATAGGGGTAGAAAAAGTGAAAAGGCTGAATATATAATAATCATTTCCTGCAAATGAAGGAATCTAGCCTGAGGGAATTAAATGCTGAAATAGTCATTCAGGTATTTTTCCATGCACCCATACATTTTACAATGAGTTCCTTTAAATGTAATACTTTGAGTTCGTATTTTATAATAATTTACTGCATTTTGAGATTCATATGTTAGAATTTAATGCCTTATTCAATGAAAATAACTTTTACATGCACTTAGTGCATATCCTTGAAAAGTCTTTAGTAATGAAAAAAACATGTGGCATGGAGTTTTGAAAGGGTTTCTGCCATATCAGATTCGCACTCATACAGATAAATTTGTTTGTATGGGTCAGATTCCATTTCAACAAATACCTGTTTGCAAAAGATGAAAAAGCCCCAGGTTATAATCTATTCACTTTATATTATGAGATCTGCCCATTTAATATTATATTAATCAACCCATATAATATTATATGAAAAGTAGCATAACAGAAAATACACTTTTATTGAACTTAAGATCGTGGAATTTGACCCATACATTATTTAACTATGATTTAACGGTATAATTTCTAGACCATCTGGAGAAATCTTCTGTTCTTAATAATCTTTGGAAGAACATTAGTAGTTATTTAGTTTCAATGTTTTCACATTGTAATTCAAACTCATTACCACCATAAGGAAGTTAATGTGATCAGTATGAGCACATTTTTACCTTTAAAGACATAATCATAATAATTTTAATACGTAGGCCAAGTGATGTTGATAATGAAGTCTAAAGGAAGTTATAGCTTTCTCTCCCTACCCCCACCTCTTCTTTCCCTCAACACACACTATCATTTTAGATAAACATTGCAAGTTACAAGTATAATACTCATTTATTGAAATAGTCACTGAATTAATATTTGACCCCTAAATTCCAACCTACATCAGCTACTGTTTTTTCTCCTTTCCCTTTTAAAAGAAATATGCTTTCATTCTCTACATATTGAATGTAAATCAGAGAACCAATGCATCAGAGATGAACGTTACTTTTCAAAATCTTTCTATACACAAATGCTCATGTATCTCGAGCCCTAATTGTATGCATGTGTGCATGATGATTGCACACAGTGTGTAAAAACATTGTTATGGTGGGTGAGCACTTACGAAAATAGAAATCAGTCAGCACTAGTTTAAGCCAGACATGGTGTGGGTAGGTAATATAAAAGCTTCTTTCTGCAGACCTCCTCAGTTGTCTGTAGCATCCCAATTCTGAGCTAAAACCTTCATTGCTATTCTAGTCATAGAATTCAAAGATGGAAAACACCTATTAGGTTACTTAGTTTATCCCCCTAGGGCCAGCACTGAAGATTACTCTGATAGCATATTTTATTCCTTCTTCTACTTCTCCTTTGGTATTTGGTCCACCCTCATTCTAAACTGTCTGTGCTGACAGGGTTTCAGTGTGTTTCCTTAGATAAGTATATTCACCTTGATTTCTTTACATTCCTTTGATATTTAGATACATCTTGTAGTTTGCAAATACTATTGTGTGCTTGTAATCAGATCAAGGCAAATGACTTTTCCCTCTTCACAGTAGTAATCGTCTACTCACGGATCATAGTATACAAAACAATATGGGGGTAGTAATAACAATAGCTTTGATGCATTTTTTGCTTCTACGCATAAATGTTTGTGTACATGTACATAACTGGCCACCAATCTCTTTATCGGATTGCTTATCAACAAAGGCTTATGAAAAAGCAAGAAGATCATCTGAATTATGTAAAATTCTGCATAGTAATGAGCCACAAAATAGAATTGCTCCAAATCTCATTATTAGAGCAAATAGGGTATGGCAAGAGACTTTGATTAGTTCAACTGAAGATATCTGGACTTCAAGAGCAAATCTAAGTTGCTGGCCCTTAAATCAGAAATCCAGCTGGATATACCAAAGTGAATGGTGAAGAGCTTAAGATGTGGCAGGATTTTTTTTTAAAGCACTTCACATATGTTAACTCAACCCTTCTAACAGCTTTTGGGACTATGTTCTAAATAACTCTTATTTTACTGAAAACACTGAGGTGCAGGTTTCCTTGTACCCTGTCATAGGACTGGTTAGCAATCCAGTAGGTCAGCTTCAGAGTCCGTGCCCACAACCACTATGCTGACTAGAGTCAAGGGGGAAATGAGTGAGCATGTGCTTTGGAGTCTGATGGACCCTGCTTTGAATATTGGTTTTGTCAAAGCTGTTGAAACTTCGTACAAGTTAGTTGTCCTTGTTGAGCCTCGGTTCCTTTGTCTGGATAATGGGATTAATAATGTTCTCCTCTTAGGATTTTATGAGGATTAAGGAAGAAAATGCATGTCCAACACTTGGTACAGTTTGTGACATGTGATTGACATCAAACGAAAGTTTGTTACCTCCTTTTGAAGTTCTCTCTAATGGCATGGAGGGAGATTGGCCACCCCACTTTCTTCTAAATTGGGGGTTCCCAACCCCCAGATCATGGACCAGCATCAGTACATGGCCTGTTGGGAACTGGGCCACACAGCGGGAATTGAGCAGCGGGTGAGCAAGTGAAGCTTCATCTGTATTTATAGCCGCTCCCCATCACTTGCATTACCATCTGAGCTCCACCTCCTGTCAGATCAATGGCAGCATTCGATTCTCAAAGAAGCATGAACCCTATTGTGAACTGCACATGCAAAGGGTATAAGTTGAGCACTCCTTATGAGAATTTAGTGGCTGATGATCTGTCACTATCTTCCATCACCCCCAGATGGGACTGTCTAGCTGCAGGAAAACAGGCTTAGGGTTCTCACTGATTTACATTCTGGTGAGTTTCATAATTATTTCATTATATGTTACAATGTAATAATAATAGAAATAAAGTATACAATAAATGTAATGTGCTTGAATGATCCTGAAACCATTCCCCCACCCTGGTCCGTGTAAAAATTGTCTTCCATGAAACCGGTCCCTGGTATCAAAAAGAGTGGGGACTGATGTTCTAAGCCAGTCATCTAACATTCTTAAATTATTTTCTAAGTGATTGGCCTTTATTCTCCACATAAAGGGCATGTGTTTGTGTTAAAGTGTGTTAGAGATTTTGTGGTATGCAAGTATAACCTTGTAGAATCAAGTTGAGACACAGTCTGACCAGTTTCTTCATACAGTGTCTACCAACTAAACCAACATGTTTGTTCACACAGTGTCTACCAACTAAACATGTTGGATAGCCCCCAATTTAAAAGTAGATTCTGCTCCAAAAATTTGTTGCAATTTGTGACTTGGAGCATTTTTTCTTCTAAAAGCTATGTCATAAATGGTTAGTTCACGCATCTTTTGAATCCATAAGATATCTAAGCTGTCCTAGTAGCCTGTAGCAAAGGCTGTGGTTGATTTGCTTGCTGTAAGTAAATTCTTCTATTTAATATCTAGTTTAATCTATTCAACTTAGAGTCCTGAAAGGACAGAACTGAGTACTACAAGTTCTATTGGCCTCTGATAAGTGGAGGAATTTTAGAAAACATATAGCTCCATCAGCTGGCTGGTGGTCAATGAAGAGTTCTCCCTATAATTTAAAATGTGTCACAAAAACTAACTAGGGCACAGAGACACTATACTCATGAAGAGGTAGGGACAGAGTCCATGCAATGGCCATGTTATGTATAGGGCAAGAATGGCCAAGCTGGTATACAGGAAGAAAAGAATGAAGCAGATGTATGTGCAGAAAGAAGCCATGTGGTTCAGAGAGTTAGATGGAGTGAATAGGTACCTGATGACCTTCCAGGTCCCATAAGGCCTGGCTATAGTAATCTACAATTGGACCTCATAGGATCCTCTTGTGTTATTTTGATAAACCCTTTTTACTTAAAAAGTGGGTTTCTTTTATAGGCAACAAAACGATTCTTGGCCAAACTAAAGTTCTCAGATCAGAAGCCTTCTGAATTCTACTTGTTGCCATTCTGGATGGCTGTCTAGGAGTGAATGGGTAGGGGCTCTGATGTCTTGATCTGATAGTATTAATGAAAGGCTCTGGGTTGGAAGAAATGGGAAATGAAAGTCCTGGTCTTGGTCACAGTCTATTTTTGTTAACTTTGAATCCATAAGGCATTGCTGTCATCCCCTCAGGGTCTTCCTCACTACATGCAATTTACCACTTTCCTTCTGATTCACACTGTTCCTGTCTTGAATGCCCTTTTGTTCCTCTTTATTTATACAAAGTTTATTCTGCCTTCATTGTATCTCAAGATGAGATATAGAGAGTTGTCGAGTTTTATGGCAGGAAGGGGGCAAAGCCATCTAGTTTAAAGGCTCAAAGAGGTTGCCAAGGCCACTCAACTAGAAAATAATGCTGTCAGGACTTGAACTTAGGTTCTGACTTCAGTATGTTTTCCATTAGACAACTCTGCCTGTGGTCCACAGGGCCTTACCCTCTTCTTAGTGTATAAGAGTGACCTCTTTACAATACAGTATTAAATTATATATTCCCCTGACTTATAAGTACTGCAAATACTGCGTTGTCCAATGTATCTTGTGTAACTTATGTTTTTCTTAATAGACCGCAAGCTTGTTGAGAGCAGAAATAGTACTTTCTTTTATTGTAGTTCCTCTTAGCTCTTCATGGAATGCTTGGCATATAAGTGATCAATACATTTCTACTTATTCCTTAAGTGATTGGAAATATCACATGAAGATAAATGATGAACTTCAAAGGTTTCCAGAGCTGACATCTTTAAAAGATGAATAATGTTTTTAACATAGATAAGTCCCATGAAAATTGTTTTATTTTACAACCACTGATACCAGATAATTTTGCTATGAAGGGTAGGGATTGGACCTTTGCACATTTTGAGTAGGAGCCAGATTTTGAGGCTGGAAGCTGCATTAATTGCAGAAGTTAGATGACGCTTAGGTAAGCACAGAGACAGGGTATATATAGCAGTCATTCCCATGTAGGTGTGGTCGGGGGAGTGATATATCCAATTGGAGTAGATAAGATAATTCATGGATTAACTTGTTTATTTCAAGTGATGATCATGTATCTTTCAGAACAACATCCTAGTGGTCCTCCTTTAAGATTTTGTACTTCGTAGGGAGCATGGATAAGAGGGTGTTAGCTTTCGTTTTTTGCTGATTCTAGGCATGGCATCTTGCTTTCTGATTTTCCTACTGACCACCATCTTCATGGTCCTAAGTTTCATTGTTCACACTTGTATCTTAATGCATTCTGACTGTATATTGTGGGGAACATAGACATAACATTCAGTTTGGGTTATGGGGACCAGCAAGTGGTAGTTAAACTTTCTGGAATCTTAGACTCATGAAGAGAGTTCATCTTTGCTGGGACCACAAAACTGTGATTTTCTTTAAGATCATGTCTCAAAGTGACTTTCTTACCATTCACTTTGTTATATCCCATTGGTATTCCTGGGTTTGAGAAAGACCAGCAACTTAGATATGCTCTCTTTTTTTATTTTTATTTTTTTATTATACTTTAAGTTCTAGGGTACATGTGCATAATGTGCAGGTTTGTTACATAGGTATACATGTGCCATGTTGGTTTGCTGCACCCATTAACTCATCATTTACATTAGTTATTTCTCCTAATTCTATCCCTCCCCCTGCCCCCAACCCCATGACAGGTGTGTGTGGGTGTGTGTGTTGTTGTGTGTATGATGTTCCCCGCCCTGTGTCCAAGTGTTCTCATTGTTCAATTCCCACCTATGAGTGAGAACATGCAGTGTTTGGTTTTCTGTCCTTGTAATAGTTTGCTGAGAATGATGGTTTCCAGCTGCATCCATGTCCCTGCAAAGGAAATGAACTCATCCTTTTTTATGGCTACATAGTATTCCATGGTGTATATGTGCCACATTTTCTTAATCCAGTCTATCACTGATGGACATTTGGGTTGGTTCCAAGTCTTTACTGTTGTGAATAGTGCTGCAATAAACATGTGTTCATGTGTCTTTATAGTAGCATGATTTATAATCCTTTGGGTATATACCCAGTAATAGGATGGCTGGGTCAAATGGTATTTCTAGTTCTAGATCCTTGAGGAATCGCCACACTGTCTTCCACAGTGGTTGAACTAGTTTACACTCCCATCAACAGTGTAAAAGCGTTCATATTTCTCCACATCCTCTCCAGCACCTGTTGTTTCCTGACTTTTTAATGATCACCATTCTAACTGGCATGAGATGGTATCTCATTGTGGTTTTGATTTGCATTTCTTTGATGAACAGCGATCATGGGCATTTTTTCATGTGTCTGTTGGCTGCCTAAATGTCTTCTTTTGAGAAGTGTCTGTTCATATACTTTGCCCACTTTTTGATGGGATGGTTTGTTTTTTTCTTGAAAATTTGTTTAAGTTCTTTGTAGATTCTGGATAGTAGCCCTTTGTCAGATGGGTAGATTGCAAAAATTTTCTCCTATTCTGTAGGTTGGCTGTTCGCTCTGATGGTAATTTCTTTTGCTGCACAGAAGCTCTTTAGTTTAATTAGATCCCATTTATCTATTTGGCTTTTGTTGCCATTGCTTTTGGTGTTTTAGTCATGAAGTCCTTGCCCATGCCTATGTCCTGAATGGTATTGCCTAGGTTTTCTTCTAGGGTTTTTATGGTTTTAGATCTAACATTTAAGTCTTTAATCCATCTTGAATTAATTTTTGTATAAGGGGTAAGGAAGGGATCCAGTTTCAGCTTTCTACATACGGCTAGCCAGTTTTCCCAGCACCATTTATTAAATAGGGAATCCTTTCCCCTTTCTTGTTTTTGTCAGGTTTGTCAAAGATCAGATGGTTGTAGATGTGTGGTGTTATTTCTGAGGCCTCTGTTCCGTTCCATTGGTCTGTATCTCTGTTTTGGTACTGTACCATGCTGTTTTGGTAACTGTAGCCTTGTAGTATAGTTTGAAGTCAGGTAGCATGGTGCCTCCAGCTTTGTTCTCTTTGCTTAGGATTGTCTTGGTGATGCGGGCTCTTTTTTGGTTCCATATGAACTTTAAAGTAGTTTCTTCCAATTCTGTGAAGAAAGTCATTGGTAGCTTGATGGGGATGGCATTGAATCTATAACTTATCTTGGCCAGTATGGCCATTTTCACGATATTGATTCTTTCTATCCATGAGCATGGAATGTTCTTCCATTTGTTTGTGTGCTCTTATTTCGTTGAGCAGTGGTTTGTAGTTCTCCCTGAAGAGGTCCTTCACATCCCTTGTAAGTTGGATTCCTAGGTATTTTATTCTCTTTGTAGCAATTGTGAACGGGAGCTCACTTATGATTTGGCTCTCTGTTTGTCTGTTGTTGGTGTACAGGAATGCTTGTGATTTTTGTACATTGATTTTGCAACTTGAGACTTTGCTGAAGTTGCTTATCAGCTTCAGGAGATTTTGGGCTGAGGTGATGGGGTTTCCTAAATATACAATCATGTCATGTGCAAACAGGGACAATTTGACTTCCTCTTTTCCTAATCGAATACCCTTTATTTCTTTCTCTTGCCTGATTGCCCTGGCCAGAATTTCCAACACTATGTTGAACAGGAGCGGTGAGAGAGGGCATCCTTATCTTGTGCTGGTTTTCAAAGGGAATGCGTCCAGCTTCCAGTTTTTGCCCATTCAGTATGATAATGGCTGTGGGGTTGTCATAAATAGCTCTTATTATTTTGAGATATGTTCCATCAATCCTAGTTTATTGAGAGTTTTTAGCATGAAGTGTTGTTAAATTTTTTCAAAGGCCTTTTCTGCATCTACTGAGATAATCATGTGGTTTTTGTCATTGGTTCTTTTTATGTGATGGATTACGTTTATTGATTTGCGTATGTTGAACGACACTTGCATCCCAGGGATGAAGCCCACTTGATCATGGTGGATAAGCTTTTTGACGTGCTGCTGGATTTGGTTTACCAGTATTTTATTGAAGATTTTCCCATTGATGTTTATCATGGATATTGGTCTAAAATTCTCTTTTTTTATGGTGTTTCTACCAGGCTTTCATATCAAAATGACATTGGCCTCATAAAATGAGTTAGGGAGGATTCCCTCTTTTTCTATTGATTGGAATAGTTTCAGAAGGAATGGTACCAGCACTTCTTTGTACCTCTGGTAGAATTTGGCTGTGAATCCGTCTGGTCCTGGACTTTTTTTGGTTGGTAGACTATTAATTATTGCCTCAATTTCAGAGCCTGTTATTGGTCTATTCAGAGATTCAAATTCTTCCTGGTTTAGTCTTGGGAGGTTGTATGTGTCCAGGAATTTATCCATTTCTTCTAGATTTTCTAGTTTATTTGTGTAGAGGTATTTATAGTATCCTCTGATGGTAGTTTGTATTTCTGTGGGATGGGTGGTTATATCCCCTTTATCATTTTTTATTGCATCTATTTGATTCTTCTCTCTTTTCTTCTTTATTAGTCTGGCTAGTGGTCTATCAATTTTGTTGATCTTTTCAAAAAACCAGCTCCTGGATTCATTGATTTTTTTGAAGGATTTTTTGTGCCTCTATCTTCTTCAATTCTGCTCTGATCTTTAGTTATTTCTTGCCTTCTGCTAGCTTTTGAATTTGTTTGCTCTTACTTCTCTAGTTCTTTTAATTGAGATGTTAGGGTGTCGATTTTAGATCTTTTCTGCTTTCTCTTGTTGGCATGTAGTGATATAAATTTCCCTCTACACGCTGCTTTAAATGTGTCCAAGAGATTCTGTTGTGTCTTTGTTTTCTTTGTTTTCAAAGAACATCTTTAGTTCTGCCTTCATTTCGTTATTTACCCAGTAGTCATTCAGGAGCAGGTTGTTGAGATGCCATGTAGTTGTGCAGTTTTGAATGAGTTTCTTAATCCTGAGTTCTAATTTGATTGCACTGTGGTCTGAGAGACAGTTTGTTGTGATTTCTGTTCTTTTACATTTGCTGAGGAGTGCTTTACTTCCAACTATGTAGTCAGTTTTGGAATAAGTGAGATGCAGTGTTGAGAAGAATGTATATTCTGTTGATTTGGGGTGGAGAGTTCTGTAGATGTCTTTTAGATCCACTTGGTGCAGAGCTGAGTTCAAATCCTGAATATCCGTGTTAACCTTCTGTCTCGTTCGTCTGTCTAATATTGACAGTGTGGTGTTAAAGTCTCCCATTATTATTGCGTGGGAATCTAAGTCTCTTTGTAGGTCTCTAAGGACTTGCTTTATGAATCTAGGTGCTCCTGTATTGGGTGCATATATATTTAGGATAGTTAACTCTTCTTGTTGAATTGATCTCTTTACCATTATGTTATGGCCTTCTTTGTCTCTTCTGATCTTTGTTGGCTTAAAGTTTGTTTTATCAGAAATGAGGATTGCAACCCCTGCTCTTTTTTTGCTTTCCATTTGCTTGGTAGATCTTCCTCCATCCCTTTATTTTCAGCCTATGTGTGTCTCTGCACATGAGATGGGTCTCCTGAATACAACACACTGATGGGTCTTGACTCTTTATCCAATTTGCCAGTCTGTGTCTTTTAATTGGGGCATTTAGCCCATTTACATTTAAGGTTAATATTGTTATGTGTGAATTTGATCCTGTCATTATGATGTTAGCTGGTTATTTGGCCCATTAGTTGATACAGTTTCTTCCTAGCATTGATGGTCTTTACAATTTGGCATGTTTTTGCAGTGGCTGGTACCAGTTGTTCCTTTCCATGTTTAGTGCTTCCTTCAGGAACTCTTGTAAGCCAGGCCTGGTGGTGACAAAATCTCATAGCATTTGCTGCTCTGTAAAGGATTTTATTTCTCATTCACTTATGAAGCTTAGTTTGGCTGGATATGAAATTCTGGACTGAAAATTCTTTTCTTTAAGAATGTTGAATATGGGCCCCCACTCTCTTCTGGCCTGTAGAATTTCTGCTGAGAGATCCGCTATTAGTCTGATGGGCTTCCCTTTGTGGGTAACCCGACCTTTCTCTCTGGCTGCCCTTAACATTTTTTCCTTCATTTCAACCTCGGTGAATCTGACAATTATGTGTCTTGGTGTTGCTCTTCTTGAGGAGTATCTTTGTGGTGTTCTCTGTATTTCCTGAATTTGAATGTTGGCCTGTTTTGCTAGGTTGGGGAAGTTCTCCTGGATAATATCCTGCAGAGTGTTTTCCGACTTGGTTCCATTCTCCTCGTCACTTTCAGATACACAAATCAAACCTAGATTTAGTCTTTTCACATAGTCCCATATTTCTTGGAGGTTTTGTTCGTTTCTTTTTACTCTTTTTTCTCTAGACTTCTCTTCTCACTTTATTTCATTAATTTGATCTTCAATCACTGATACCCTTGCTTCCACTTAATCGAATTGGCTATTGAAGCTTGTGCATGTGTCAGTAGTTCTTGTGCCATGGTTTTCAGCTCCATCAGGTCTTTTAAGGTCTTCTCTATACTGTTTATTCTAGTTAGCCATTTGTCTAATCTTTTTTCAAGGTTTTTAGCTTCCTTGTGATGGGTTTGAACATCCTCCTTTAGATCAGAGAAGTTTGTTCTTACCGACCTTCTGAAGCCTACTTCTGTCAACTCATCAAACTCATTCTCTGTCCAACTTTGTTTCACTGCTGGCGAGGAGCTGCGATCCTTTGGAGGAGAAGAGGCGTTCTGGTTTTTAGAATTTTCAGCTTTTCTGCTCTGGTTTCTCCCCATTTTTGTAGTTTGATCTGCCTTTGGTCTTTGATGTTGGTGACCTACAGATGGGGTTTTGGTGTGCATGTCCTTTTTGTTGATGTTGATGCTATTACTTTCTGTTTGTTATTTTTCCTTCTAATGGTCAGGTCCCTCAGCTGCAGTCTGTTGGAGTTTGCTGGAGGTCCACTCCAGACCCTGTTTGCCTGGGTATCACCAGCAGAGGCTGCAGGACAGCAAATATTGCAGAACAACAAATATCTGGAAGCTTTGTCCCAGAGGGGCACCCACCTGTGTGAGGTGTCAGTTGGCCCCTACTGGGAGATGTCTCCCAGTTAGGCTACGTGGGAGTCAGGGACCCACTTGAGGAGGCACTCTGTCTGTTCTCAGAGCTCAAACACCTTGCTGGGAGAACCACTGCTCTCTTCAGAGCTGTCACACTGGAACGTTTAAGTCTGCATAAGTTTCTGCTGCCTTTTGTTCAGCTATGCCCTGCCCCCAGAGGTGGAGTCTACAGAGGCAGTGGGCCCTGCTGAGCTGCGGTGGGCTCCGCCCAGTTCAAGCTTCCCTGGCCACTTTGTTTACCTACTCAAGCCTCAGCAATGGCAGATGCCCCTCCCCCTGCCAGGCTGCTGCCTCACAGGTTGATCTCAGACTGCTGTGCTAGCAGTGAGCAAGGCTCGGTGGGCATGGGACCCACCGAGCCAGGTGTGGGATATAATCTCCTGGTGTGCCGTTTGCTAAGACCATTGCAAAAGTGCAGTATTTGGGCAGAAGTGTCCCGGTTTTCCAGCTACAGTCTGTTACAGCTTCCCTTGGCTAGGAAAGGGAAATCCCCTGACCCCTTGCACTTCCTGGGTGAGGTGATGCCCTGCCCTGCTTGGGCTTGCCCTCCATGGGCTGCACCCACTGTCCAACCAGTCCTAATGAGATGAACCAGGTACCTCAGTTGGAAATGCAGAAATCACCCATCTTCTGCGTTGATCATGCAGGGAGCTGCAGACCAGAGCTTTTACTATTTGACTATCTTGGAACAGTGACCCACCAGATATGCTCTTAATGTTTAGATATCTTCAGTTGAACAAGGTCTCCTTGTTATACTCTATTTGCTTCAACAGTGAGATTTGGAGCAATCCTAGCAATCCTAGCTTGTGGCTTGTTCAGCATGAAGTGTTTTATATAACTAACATGGTTTGCTTGTCTTTTCTTCCACTTCTGTTGATGAGCAATCTGAGAAAAAAATTGGTGGCTCATGAGGTAAATACATACATATATATATGCATAGAAGCAAAAAAATGCATTAATGCAATATTAACAGATGATTAAATTAAAGTGAGCTTTCACCCCCGAAATTTTATAAAATGAGTATAAATTACTTTACAGTCAAGAAAGCAATAAGTACTCTTAAATATGCAATAAAGAATAGTTTTGAAATATAGAGAGATATCACCATTTACATCTCAGATGCATTCACTATGTTCCTAATTTTTGTTTTTAAATTATAAGACCACAGTTTGGGAAAGTATAAGCTAGAAAGAAAAAAATGTAAAATTTTCCCCAATGCTTGATTTACTCAATAATTATGCTGTGCTCATTGGCATCAATGAAAATATACATGTTAATTTCCCCATGGTCTTGAGCTTACACATACTCAGAGGTGATGCTGGTGATCTGATGGAAAGAGCATTTTACTTGCAATTTTAGCTGAATATTTGCTGTGTAATCATTGGCAAGCCAGACAATCTTTCTGAAATTTGGTTTCCTCATCAGTAGAGTGTAAATAATAATAAGAGCTGTTGTAAATGGCAACTTAGATAATATATGTAAAATTTCTTTTAAATTGTGATATGTGTTATATGTCTAGAAGCAATAATAATTACCATAATTTTTACCTTAAAGTTCATAGACATCCTTATCAAGCTCTCATTTCTTTGATGAGAAGGGACTGACTGAGTCTCTCTCCTATTAGAAGTTATACGCGGCTTCACTGGGCAACCCTAATCTGTGACTACAAGAAAAGTCATGTCACTGTGCCTCTGCCCATATTTTTACCTCCACCTGGAATCCCCTCCTCCACATTCCCTGCAACTTTCCTTCTTAGATAGGCTTACCTCAACTCCTCTTTCACAGATCAGCTCAAAAGCCCCCACCTCCATGAAGCTTTCTCTCTCTCTCTTTTTTTTTTTTTTTTTGACAGATCCTTGCTCTGCCACCAGGCTGGAGTGCAGTGGCGCAATCTTGGCTCACTGCAACCTCTGAATCCCTGGTTCAAGCAATTCTCCAGCCTCAGCCTCTCAAGTAGCTGGGATTACAGGCAAGTGCCACCAAGCCCAGCTAATTTTTGTATTTTTAGTAGAGACAGGGTTTCACCATGTTGGCCAGGATGGTCTTGATCTCCTGACCTCCTGATCTGCCTGCCTCAGCCTCCCAAAATGCTGGGATTACAGGTGTGAGCCACCATGCCCAGCCAAAGCTTTCTCTGATAATCCTTCAAGAAGAACCCTCATCTTGAATTTCCTTAGACATTACTGTAATTAGTTTTGACAAATCTTTCTTTTTAACCAGATAGGTATTTGACTATTGCGTTAAAATTGACAGCTACATCCTACACCATGAACCCTTTCCTGGTGTACTATCAAGTGTGGGTCCAAGTGTAAAGCTTATTTTTGCTGTAACTGAGTACACTCTTTTTTGGTTGTTGTTTTGTTTTTTGAGATGGAGTCTCACTCTGTCACCCAGGCTGGAGTGCAGTGGCACCACCTTGGCTCACTGCAAACCCCACCTCCTGGGTTCAAGCAATTCTCCTGTCTCAGCCTCCCAGCCTCCAAGTAGCTGGGACTATAAGTACGTGCCACCACACCCAGATAATTTTTGTATTTTTTTTTTAGTAGAGTTGGGGTTTCACCATATTGGCCACGATGGTCTCGAACTATTGACCTCCTCCTGCCTCAGCCTCCCAAAGTGCTGGGATTACAGGCATGAAGCCACCGTGCCCGGCCTTACACTCATTTATTACAATGTGTAAGAAGGTACATTGAGTTGAGTAAGTGTATTAGTTCATTTTCACACTACTGATAAAGACATATCCAAGACTGGGTAATTTGTAAAGAAAAAGAGGTTTAAAAGACTCACAATTCTATGTGGCTGGGGAGGCCTCACAATCATGGCAGAAAGCAAAAGGCATGTCTTATATGGCGGCAGACAAGAGAGAAAATGAGAGCCAAGCAAAAGGGGTTTCCCCTTATAAAACCATCAGATCTCATGAGACTTATGAGACTTATTCACTACCACAAGAACAATATGGGGGAACCAACCCCATGATTCAGTTATCTCCCACTAGGTCCCTTCCACAACATGTGAGAATTATAGGAGTTACAATTCAAGATGAGATTTGGGTGGGGACACAGCCAAACCATATCAGTAAATTATGCAATGTGGTCTAAAGCAGGGTGTTAGTTGCTGCAAAGAGAGCTAAATATTGTCAATAGCAGACCAGAAATGGATAAAGATCAGAAATTTATGTCACGCCAGAGCAGCCCATGCTTTACCCAACAGTTCGACAGTGCTTTGTGACTGATGGAGGAAACCTAAACCCTCCATGCCCAGATTTCTAGTATTTAAAAATATATCCAGTATTTAAAAATATATTCTTGTGTTTAAAAATAAAAAATACAAAAGGAATTGAGAACTGCTGCACTCACTGTATTTGGTGTTGAGTTCCTTGAGGGTGTGCATGAGTATTTGAATAGGAAAAAAAGAGTAATACATGAGGATCAGGGTTAATAAATCTAAAAACATAATTAGTCAAATAATTTTTTGTTAAGTCTGGCACTTTTCTACTGTGAATTAAAAATATTTTTGGAATGATAGTGGCCAACAATTTCTGGAAACTTAAGAAAATAGGTTCAGTTCATTTTGTGGTTAAGATCTTAGGCTTTGAAATCAGAAGGATCTGTTCTCAAATCCCAACTTGGCTATTTACTACCTATGTGATTTGATTGCTTAATGTCTTCAAGCATCAGTTTTCTTTTCTTTAAATGAGACTGATAGAATATATGAGTTGGGATGATTTTGGCTATAAATAACAGATGTTTTGATAATAAAATAATTGATTATTTTACATAATGAAAAGTTCAAAGGCACAGTGGATTCCAGGGTTGTGAGAGATTCAATGACACAGTGATGTTCTTTCCATCTTTTAGTGTTACCATCTTCAGGGTTGACTTCTTTCAGAGGAAAACTCTCATTTTCAGAGGGCCGCATTTTCCAGTGTCTCTTAAGAGTGAAGGAAATTTTATTTCAAGACCGCTGGTATGGCTGGGTGTATTGGCTTATATCAGTAATCCCAGCACTTTGGGAGGCCAAGGTGGGAGGATCACTTAAGGCTAGATGTTTGAGACCAGCCTGGGCAACATAGTGAGACCCTGTATCCACAAACAAAAATAAAATTATCTGGATGTGATGGTGCATGCCTATAGTCCTACCTACTCAGGGGGCTGAGGTGGGAGGATCACTTGGGCCCAGGAGTTTGAGGTTGCAGTGAGCTAGGGCTGGTGACAGTGCAAGGCTGTTTCTAAAACAAACACGACACAACAAAACAAAAGGCTACCGGGTTAGCAGCTTATTCCCAAAGTAATGACGAGTAGTGAGGATAGAATTATCGTGATGGTTGCAAATCAGTCATCTCAAGAGAAATAAATGTTGGAGAGTCACCATAGCTACTACAGAATCAACTTGTAATTTTTTTATTTTTTGTGAAAACTGCTTATAAAACTCTGAGCTCATTGTCCCACATATAGTAAGAACGTGGCAGCTTTTCTTATCAACCACTCACTAATTTGGACCTAAAAAGTCCACTTCAGATTTTTGATTTGTAACATTTCTTGCACCTACTTAACAATCGTTCTGTTCTCTCCTCTGGCCAACATTTGGGAGATGTGTGCCTCATATAAGAGTAAACTTGACAGTGAGTATCTAAATGCATTGATGGCTCTTGACCTGCCTGGTTTTCAGGTATTGTATTGTGGAAACTTTCCTTTGGCCTGAGAAGTATGAATTCTGCTGTGTACATGGTCTTGAGGAAGGAAACAGTCAGTTCCTTACAAGTCAGGTCCTGGGTTAAGTGCATTCAAGTAGGATTTGGCTGAAGGAAACCTGGGCTGCTCTTGCCCGTCATCTGGGCAGCCTTGTGCAGACCACCATATCTTGTGGGTCTTAGTTGTCTTTTCGGCAAAATAAGGATGATCTGGGGATCATGGAGCTAATTGCTGTGGAAAGGCTTTCTAAATGTTTTAACTCATTGAAGATACTAGTTATTTTTGCTCCACTGGGTAGCTTTTTTGTATAATACATAAGCATGATAGTCAGATAGGCATTGCCTACATAAGGGGAAGGTGCAAATCAAGCAATGCAATGACTTAGTCTGGGAGCAACTTCCCATGTTTAAAGAAAAAAGAAAGCACGTTTCTTCTGCTCTTCTTCTGCAGGTACTTCCCCTCCCTTGAAGTTTTTAATAACCTCAGTGGAGTCTCCAAGTGTTCAGAAAAATGTCTCTAACTGAACAGGAGAAAAGTGGATTGGTTTGTTTGGTTTACGCACTTGTGTTAAGAGTTCCCCATTTCTTAAATGAGAAGTGAAGCTATTTGCTTTTCTGTGTATGTATGGACAAAATTCCACAAACATCTACAGTCAGTAAATCAATGAAATGCAATAATATTCAAGGATGAATATTATCTCTTGATATAAAATTTATTTATTTTCTAATTTTAAAAATTGATATATACAAATTGTACATATTTATGGGGTACATAGTGATGTTTCAATACATGTAATATATAGTGATCAGACCAGGACAATTAGAATATACATCATCTGAAACATTTATCTTTTTTGTGTTGGGAACATTCAATATCTTCATTCTAGCTATTTGAAACTATAAAATATATTATAGTTAGCCATAGTCATTCTACAATGCTATAGAACACTTGAACTTATACCTCCTATTTAGCCGTAGTTTTGTATCTTTTAACAAATCTCTCCCTATCCCTCTTTTCCACCCTATGGTATCCTCTGTTTTACTTTTTATTTCTAAGAGATAAACATTTTCAGCTTCCGCATGAGTGAGAACATGTGGTGTTTAACTTTTTTTTTTTTTTTTTTTGAGACAGAGTCTCATTGTCACCCAGGCTGGAGTGCAGTGGCATGATCTCGGCTGACTGCAAGCTCTGCCTCTGGGGTTGACCCCATTCTCTTGCCTCAGCCTCCCAAGTAGCTGGGACTACAGGTGCCCACCACCATGCCCAGCTAATTTTTTGTATTTTTTAGTAGAGACGGGGTTTCACTGTGTTAGCCAGGATTGTCCCGATTTCCTGACCTCATGGTCTGCCCACCTCGGCCTCCCAAATTGCTGGGATTACGGGCGTGAGCCACCATGCCTGGCTGGTGTTTAACTTTTTGTTCCTGGCTTATTTGACTTAAAATAATGTTCTCTAGTTCCATCCATGTTGTTGCAATTGATAGGATTGCATTCTTTTTTATGGCTGAATAGTATTCCATTATATTTATATGTATATATATATATATATATATATATATATATATATATATATATATGCACACTTTCTTTATCCATTCATCTGTTGTTGGACACTTTGATTCCATATCTTGGCTATTGAGAATAGTGCTGCAGGAAACAGGACACTGCAGATGTCTTTTTGATATACTGATTTGATTTCTTTTGGACAAATGCCCAGTAGTAGGATTGCTGTATCATATGGTCTTTCTATAATATTTGTAGTTTTTTGAGGAACCTCCATACTGTTATTCATAGTGGCTGTACTAGTTTACATTTCCATCAACAGTGTATAAGAGTTCCGTTTTCTCCACATCCTTGCCAGCATTTGTTAATTTTTGTCTTATTTTTTGGACTTAAGACCCAGCTAGTCAGAGTTGTCTTTCAAAGAATGAGAACTGCCATTCCTTAGAAAGTAGCATCAAATAAAGTGACTTGTAGGGATATTCCTTGGCCCAATCTAAAATTGAAACAGACAGTGCACATGGCTTTATTTAGGATCCTAGAAATTGAACATAGAAGGAATTCTTAGCTCAACATTCTTCCAGATTGTAGAAACTAGTTGATGTTTCCTGACAAGGCCTCTTGCCAATCTCACCTCTCCTAGCTAAGCTCTTTTAACTCTGGTCTTAGGCTGATCTATTTCCTGGCAACAAATCTTCTTTTAAATAAAAACAGATCTCCTAGATGGTCTTGTTCACTCTTTCCTTCTACTGACTACCTTTGTTGCCCATTCTCATCACTTTCTCAATTTAGTCATTATTTTTCTTTTTTATTCTCTTCCTTCAACCTCATTATTTGTTTTCTCTTCATCCTTTTAGATGATGATTAGGTTATCACTGTCCAATATGGGAGCCACTGGCCACATGTGTCTATTTAAGTTAATTAGAATTAGAGAAAATTAAAAGAAAATCAGTTCCTCTTCAGTCACATTACAAGTGTTCAATAACCACATGCGTCTAGTGGCCAGCACAGTGATTGGACAGGGCAGATACAGAAGATTTCCATAATCACAGAAGGCTCTATAGACAGTGTTGACCCAGGTATTCAATTTCTCTACTTCCTTAAGTGTTTTTTCCACTTTCAGGAAATTTCTACCCATTTTCACCCTTATTACTATAAAAAAGTCAAAGATACATATTGGAAACAAAGCGAATATCTTCATAGATTGTTCACATACCTGGAGGACAGGTTCTTCTATCCTCTTGGTCATAGTCATTTCATAGTCTCTGTAATTGTTTCAGCACATTAAATAGAGGAATAGTGAATCGATGTAGTCTTTAAGATTTTCATCCTTAAAACTGGAATTTCATATAAACTCTGAAGACATGCAACTTATCGTGCTTTTGGGTGGCCATCACCACAATTCAGCAATGATGGCTGAGTGGACTTTGTCGTCAAAAGAGGTGGACCTCAGCAGAGAGCTGTCTGCACACTGTGGCCCTATCTTTCAAATTTTATTTCTCTGCCGTCTTCCCTTTTAGTTCCTGCTAGCTCTGATCTTGACTTATTCCTTCCTGCCTTGTGTCCTTTTCAACCCTTTGATTAGTGTTGGCATCTTTTTCACAGGAGTCAGATTCTGATCTCAGCCATCCTTTCTGTCATTTCTATGCTAATCTTACTAAATTTGATGACTCATCTGCATTGTTGCCAATGTGTGATCTTTCCTGCACCCACATTTTGGTTTGTGTTTCAGAATTTGAAGGCACACTTAGAGCTTGAGGAGACGCTACCCATTTCTTCCTTAGCAAGCATGAGTTCTCATGTCTTCCATTTCCCTTCACTCAGCTTGGAGAGTGAAAAGAAGAAACAAAGAAAAATTTTTACCTTCAAAGAGTTTACATACTAGTAGGGGATACAAGAGATAGTTAAGAAATTAGGCCAGAAGATTTGTAGAGAACTCAATGACTGATGTCAGCACAAGAACTATCAAGGTTAAAATAAGGGTTTGGACTATTTCATTAGAAAGGTACAACATGGCTTGATGGGAAAGTTTAGACAAGATTTGGACTGGCCCAGGGAGGGCATCTCAGTTTGTAAACTGGGGCAGGCTATATGAGGCAAGAATTGCTTAGGTCTTGCTTTTCCTCTGCATTATTCTCCTTTCTTCTTCATTTTCTACTGACAATTATGTCCACATCTGTCTGGCCCAGGGTGTCACCATCCTTCATTCTGATGCTTTCCTATAATTGATTTTGTTTGGCTGTTCATGATAGGGACTATTATCACAGGGAGCTTAAGATTCATTTACTTTTTTATTTTTATTTTTGGTGGTAGATTAAGACATTATAGATATTTCACTGGGGATAATAGTCATTCATTCTAAGAGCTGAGTTTAAATCTGTAACTAACTGTGCCCGCACCTTCTACAAAGAAGGGGGAAAAAAAAGAAAAGTTGCTTGTTGGTTGTTTTCTGGGGGCTTCTGAGATCTGAGATTTTAATCGTTTGGAGCATTTCCGTTGAGTTCTTTTTTTTTTTTTAAGTATTATTCTTGAGTATGGACAGGTGCCAAGGGTTTATACATTTTATTTTTCAGATGAAGAATCTGAATTTCCAGAATGGGAAATGATGAGCTCAAGATGTGAGCTCCTCTAAAGGTTGGGACTGTTGTTTTTCTTTGTGTCTCCAGTGCCTGTGGCGGTTCCTAGAACATATCAGATCCCCAGAAAATGTTTCCAGGGCACATACTTAATGAATATCTCAGAAAAACAACAGTGATCCAGGGTGTGTGCAGAGCTCAGCTAAGCTGAGGAGCTGAGGATGCAATACTTCATCTTTTCACAATGTTTTTGAGTTCTTCTACTTGTTCAAGAGTGTTTGATGCTTAAGATTATGTTCTCTTTGGGCTGGGCGTGGTGACTCATGCCTGTAATCCCAGCACTTTGGGAGGCTGAGCAGGGTGGATCACTGGAGGACAGGAGCTCGAGACCAGCCCGGCCAACATGGTAAGACCGTCTCTACTAAAAATACTAAAATTAGCCAGGCATGGTGGTGGGTGCCTGTAGTCCCAGCTACTTGGGAGGCTGAAGCAGAGGCAGAGAATCACTTGGACCTGGGAGATGGAGGTTGCCATGAGCCTAGATTGTGCCACTGCCACCTGGGTGACAGAGTGAGACTCTGTCTCAAAAAAAAAAAAAAAAAAAAAGAAGATTATGTTCTCTCTGAAGTTTTTCATGACATCCCCTCTTGGCTGTTATATGGTTTCATAGTACTTTTATCCTTGAAGCACCAAACACATTATATTTTAGTGACCACTTTATATCCCATTCCTTCTGCTGGGTGTTGAACTTTTTCAGAAAATAATTTCTTGTTCACTTTAATAAGCCTAGTACTTCGCCCAGAACCTGGCACACAGTAGGCACTAAATGATTATTTGGTGAATAAATGAAGGTCATATGTCGTAGTGGATGCTGTTGGTGATCCAGACAAATCCCCTTGTATACCATCCTACAGCTTCTGGCTGCTTTGCCTCTAACAGCTTATACTAGTGACCTTCTGAAGAGAACCACTTTTGAGCTGTTGGACAATTTTTGCTTGGACCTCCCGAGAGCCAAAGTGCTTGGTAGTTTACATCCCTTGAGGGCATCTGAAGCCAATGTTTTACTGGTGCAGCAGTATGAAATTCCAGCTCCTTTGCCCCAGTGTAGACCAAACTGCAACATTAAATATCCTCCAGAGTTCCCCACAGATTCAGGTTGAGGCTGGAACTTCACCTGATATTACATCATGTTCAGCTTCTTCCTTTTTCCTATTCTGATTTCCCGACGCTTACCAATTTCTCCAGAGAATCCTTCTTTAGTAGGTCACCGATGAAACAATCCTCATCTCAGGTTCTGCTTCTGGGAAACCCAAATGAATACCTCAGTTGCTTCTCAGTGCTAGAATTATACATGCAAGCTTATTTATTTATTTATTTTGCCATTTACACTGAGGTAATAAACATGTTCCAAATAGCCAAGTAACTTCAAAAAGCATTAGAGATAGAACCTCTGTAATTATTTTCCAATCTCATTTCTATAATGTAAAATACCTTTTATGGGGAGGCATATACATTGATAAAAATATTGACAGGAAAGACTGGCTTTCTTCTTAACAAAAATAATTGCGTCTTTCTAAAACAAAACAAAACAAAAAAAACAAAAAACAAAAAAACCCAGGAAGCCAGCACCGATGTTAAATCAGAACACTCATATGCCAGAGTTGATGAGATGGGACCCTAACATATGAGTCACAGAAAAAACACAGCTGGAATGAAGCAAGACATTCCGGCACATTCAGGAATGTCACTAATTTATTTCTGAATACTTGGGAAAATGTAGTCAACTGTGTAACACATACCTCTCTGTTTGCTATTTCTCATTTCACCTCTTGCTTTCTCTATTTCTGTATCTCTCCAGATCTGTTTCTCTCACTGTCCCAAAATAGCCCGCAAATTTCTTTCCATCCTCTGGTGACTGTAGCTGCAGTGAAACTGAGGTGCCAATGGAAGGAGCAACAGCTGAAAAATATGGCTTTCTTAATGGCTGTGTATATTTTCCAAAAAGAGTAGATCACTGGCATTTTAAAAGGATCATAAATATATCATTAATGAAACTGGAAGCCATCATTTCAGTAGCCAGATTAGTGTCAGGAGTTGACATTGTTCCTAGAGGAGCGAAGAACACTAAAAGAAAATTATCCAAGTTCAAATATCTCCATGATGCACAGGCATTGGGTGAATGACACTTGGGGAAACACACACATCAATATCTTTTAAGTGTAAACTGTCCTTTCTGAAACCCTTGGGCTGGTGACAACTTGACACAGAGAAGACATAACTCTGCATAGGCTATTTAACCAAGTAAAGATGATTGTCAGTTTTCTCCAGTTTTTCTTTGTTAATAGTCTATAAACACGGATGTGCCTATTAGGTGTAGCTTCCTCTCTTTATTTGAAATCACCATTAAATTGCTCTCCAAAAATATTGTAGAGCAGCCGCAGACCTCACTGAACAATAACTTTATAAGCTCTCCCTCTCTCCCTTGAGCTTTCGTCCGCTTAGCTGCCCGTCCTCAGGCTCCGAGTGTGTAATCAGGCCCAGCCTCCTGCAGAGCACCATCAGGAAAATGGCAGCTCTCACTGAGAGACAGCAGAGCCATTCACAGTCGTGGAGCTATTGAAACATTGACAGATATGACAGACATTTCCAAAGCTGTGCGAAGCATTAATTTTAATGTATGCTATGTGTCCTTACTTAGTAAATATTTATTTGACTGTGAAAGATAGGAGAGGTAATCACTGCTTTCCTTCAAATACAGTTGCTGTGTGAGCCCCAGCCCCCTTCTCTTGAGGGAGCTGAGGACTCAGTCCTGGAGTTTTGAAACAAAACATGGGAGAAGAAAAAGAGGCAAGAGACAAGACCTCTATTGTAGAGTTAAATGTTAACATTCTTCTGTGTTTTATTCAAAGTGTTTCCTTTGGTCACATGGATACAGCATAATCACATTAGCTCAGCAACTAACAAGAATCATGCTTAGCTAGAAAATAATTTCTAGGAAGTCTGGATTGGCAATAAGATTTTATCTGAAGATGGGTCAACCTAGCTGACGTTGTCTTCTATTCCAGCTTTCCTGTCTGAATCTCCTATTATGATCTTCTCAGTTAACCTCTATTGTCATTGACCATCTGATCTACATAGGGGGTCACTCTGGGGCCACCATATCTTCAGATGTAGAGCAGACAATTTAGGCAATTTCACTCTTCAAATTAAATGGTTGGAGAAGTGGGAAGGCAGTAGATTGGGTCACGACAATCATCACTGAGCACCTGCAAAGGGGTAGTTATGTTTACATGTACTATCTCAGATAATCCCAACAACTCCCTGTGAGGCAGGCAGCATTAGCACTCTTTCCAGCGTCACATAATGGCAGGATTGAGACGATTGAGATATAGACTCGGGTCTTTGAAATCCAAGGTCTGGTGCTTTGTCTGCTACTCTGCAACAGAGAGTATTGCATACATAAAATCACTTTGTAAACCTTATATCTTTATAAAAATGTTAGCTACTGCTACTGTGGACAGTGGAAAATGTGCTTGTTAGTTTTGTCTGGCTGGTTAGTCATCCAGGGCTTTTCTAATGAGGCAATGAACCCAACAGGGGTGAGAGGATGAGTTGCCAAGCCTTCACGTCGACTTTGTGTGCACTAATTAAACATCATGCCTGGATAAATGGCCCAGGATGGCAAAGTCCACAGCTTCTCACAGAAGTTTCCAGGAAGTCTCTTGGTTGCCTGAAGATGATTTGGTCATGAATGAGGTGCAACCTCAAGCCTCCTTCACTGGCTCTGTGTGACTGGGTACATTAACCTTTCATTGTATCAGTAGCAAACTGTGGTGTGAATGTCCAGTGGGCCCCCAAAATCAATTTCTCCTTGGTGAGTACTTGTTAAATGGATGTCTATTTCATTCTAATATACAAGGAGAGTGACATATATTGGATTCTAAAATATTAATTTATTATAAGTTTTTTTTTTCTTTGAACCTATGCTGTTTATCTTGGCAAGCTCTCTTAAATATCCTTTGACCTTTTCCAAAATGTCTTATTTGTTAAGTTTGCTCTCTTCAGTTTTTTGTATTCAGTGAAACTCTTTGGAATTTTCCTCAGACAAAATTTTACACTGGAGAGGGAGCCACACATAGTCAAAGTTTATGGGGAATAGATTTATGTTTGAAAACTATGCCAGATATTAGTCATGCATACTATGTTATAATATCAAGGCAGCTCTAGTCTAGTGTCTTAAAATCAGCTAGTTCCCTACCCAAAACTTTACTAAATCTGAGGGATACTCTACCTTTTCTGTCTGAAGTTCTGCATATATATATTTTTTTAATTTAAGCAGTTGTGTTGTCAGATTTTTATGGCTTTTTTACATTGAGGTAAAGGTAGGTTCTCTTGTTGAGCACCTAAAAAAAAATCACAAACAGAAAAGCAACGACTTCTTAAAAGTCCTAAATTTTCTAGTCACTCAAATAAGAATGCATTTGCTGATGGTTAATATAAAGATGGGTCAGGTCTGGTCTCCAACTAATATGACTCAGGATCTCTAAGTTCAACAGAGCAAAGACTCTTTCATTAGAGCTAAGACTCATTCTACTATATCATTAGAACAAAGACTCAACATCTGGCATAAGCAGACCATGATCTTATTTGGAGCCCAAGCTGTTTTTCTGATCCAGTACTGATGTTTGGGGGCAAGTCTTTATTTACTTGGTGCTATGATAAAGGTTTTCACATATATTATCCCACTGATGCTTAAACAAAACCCTGTAAAGTGGTACTATTTTCAATGTTTTACAAATAGGGATAATAAGCCCCTAAAAGTTTAATTAATTTGCTCAAGATTGAAGCTGGGATGTGAACCTAATGTTTCTAAATTTCAATTCTGTGCTCTTTCATTGATGATTTGTTATAACTGGCTCCTATTGTTAAGAAGACATGGTATATGGAGCAATGAGGAAACTACCAAGCCATTCTGGTTAATTATATCCATCAGTCAACTCAAAGGCATCCTTAGTCTGCAACTTCTTTTTTGTCCAACATTAAGCTTGAGAATGATGAGATATTATGGCTGTCTAATAATGGCCCTGCCCATAATTCTTTACATTCATCCAAAGCAAATGGTGAACTATTGCCCAAAATGACAATGTTTGGTCATTCATTTGCTTCAAATAACTGGCCTGGGGCCTCCTCCTACCCAGCCCAAACTAGGATTCTGGTGGAAAAAAATATTCTCTCTCTCCTGGTAGATATCTGCTTCATAAACCCTTAAGATCATCCTTAGCCCTTTAGAGACATATTCTGTGATCAAAATTTCTTATTCTAGAAGAGTCATGCAATTCATTATGGACCTGGGACACGATAAAGGGCTTAGCCTTATTTGTAGAGAAGAATCTGCCTGCTAAGACTTGAGAGGAAGAAAAAATGTAAAAGGTGGAAGGGCCTTTGAAACACTGATTTGTCATAAAATTATGGGTTTCTTGGTAAATTTGTATGCAGCTACTTCCTGAAAATGAGTATGCATTGTAAAAAATGGTCAGTTTAGTCCTCCAACATTTTGAGGCTGAACAAAGTTGAGGCATAAATTGTTTATGGTAAGAGGCTGGTTTCTGTCAAGAAAACAGTCCCAAAAATCCAAGGAGCAGTTTTTTTGTTGATGAATTCAATGCCAAAGGATGCTTCTTCTACATGAGACAATGAGGTGACTTAACCATGGCTGCATTTTGTGGAATAAAAATGTGAAAGGTGAATAGCTCTAGGACGGCTTGAAGACATTATTTTTGGAGACCATGTGACATGGATTGCACTTCATTTCAGAAGAGTGAATAGCAGGGAAAGTAATGCAACAGACCAAGAAGAAAGCTTGTTCAACTCCTCTTTTTGGAATCAATCCCGGAGTTTTCACTGCTCGCTATTCTCTGATGACTTCCAAATTTATATCTCTAGCTCGGAGCTTTGCAATGAACTCTAGACCCAGTTTCCAACTACCTGTATAACAGTCCTACTAGCATGTCTTGCATACACATACTGCTCATCTGAACAACAAAATCTATGCTGCCTCTGCTTCTCTTGTCTTTATTCTAGCTTGAGTCATTATAGGTTACAGACTCTTCCTTCTCTCTTGTTCCTTGCATTCTATCAATCATTACGATCTGCTCATCCTACCTTAGAATATTCCTCAAGTCCAATTCTTCCACTTCATTTCTCACTCATTATCACTACCTTAGATTTTTCTTGCCAAGATTATTGCAAACATTTCCCACGGATATCCCTGCCTCTGGATTTGCATCTTTCCAATTTTTCATACACTCTTCTGCCAGGATTTTCTTCCTAAAAAAATGTCATAAGGTTACTTCTCTGCTTAAAGACTTCCATTGTCGGCCGGGTGCCGTGGCCCCAGCATTTTGGGAGGCCGAAGCGAGCGGATCACGAGGTCAGGAGATCAAGACAATCCTGGCTAACACGGTGAAACCCCATCTCTACTAAAAATATAAAAAAATTAGCCAGCCGTAGTGGCAGGCGCCAGTAGTCCCAGCTACTTGGGAGGCTGAGGCAGGAGAAAGGCCTGAACCCGGGAGGCGGAGCTTGCAGTGAGCCGAGATAGCGCCACTGCACTCCAGCCTGGGAGACTGAGCAAGACTCCGTCTCAAAAAAAAAAAAAAAAAAAAAAGACTTCCATTGTTTACTCTTTGCCTGAGGGATAAAGTTCAAACTTGTTCATGTGGTTTACAAGCCCTTTCACAATCAGGACCCAGCTTATCTTTCCAATCTCATTACTTGCCCCTCCCTTCAAACACATACTCTTCACCAGCTTTCTTAATTCTGGTTTGTTTTCATAAGTGTTTTTGCCTCCTTAGAATCCCCTTCTCTACTTTTTCTTGGCCCCCCGCCCCCGATCCCCCCTGCCCAGGAATCCTAGTCATCTTTAAAAACTTAGCACAATGATTGATAACAGTTGCATTCATTGGCCATTTATTTTGCTTCAGGCACTATACTAAGTACTTTACATGGATCGTCTCAATCAGTGTTGTTTTTTTTTTTTTCCTGAGACGGAGTCTCGGCACTGTTGCCCAGGCTGGAGTGCAGTGGCGGGATCATCGTGGCTCACTGCAACCTCCGCCTCCCGGGTTCAAGCGATTCTCCTGCCTCAGCCTCCCAAGTAACTGGGATTATAGGTGCCCACCACCATGCCCGGCTAATTTTTTGCATTTTTAGTAGAGACGGGGTTTCACCATGTTGATCAGGCTGGTCTCGAACTCCTGACTGTCTTCTTATATTAATAAGAAAAATAAAACGAAATAGTGGTAAAGTATTGGGACAGTGAAAATTTTTGAGGGGTGGTATGGAGAGATAATGGGCGATGTTTCTCAGGGCTGCTTCGAGCGGGATTAGGGGCGGCGTGGGAACTTAGAGTGGGAGAGATGAAGCTGAAGGAAGATTTTGTGGTAAGGGGTGATATTATGGGGTTGTTAGAAGAAACATTTGTCATTTAGAATTATTGGTGATGGCCTGGATACAGTTTTGTATGAATTGAAAAACTAAACGGAATAAGAGAAGGAGAAACAAAGGTATTAAAGGACCAAGAATTGGGAGGACCTAGGACATCCAATTAGAGAGTGCCTAAGAAGGTTCAGCATAGCCTTGCCAGCAAAGATTATTTATTTACTTTAAGAGTTAAAAGTGGCGGTTTGGGGATAGCACCAGGAGATATCTGCTGTGATGGCTTGGAGAAACAGTGTAAACTGGCAGTGTAAACAAGAGCAGAGCATGTATGAGTAGTTGAGAATGGTGAATAGGAGTATGACTAGACAGAAGACAGTAGGGATGACAAGTTTTTTGGGGCACAATCTAAGTTGGTCTGGTGTCTGGAATGAGACTGGGGCTTAATAAAAAGGAGCATCTATACAGGAGCTTAAAATGGCTGTACCTTGTAGCATTCTGAGGACAGGCCTGAATTTCTGAGAAGGGAAAGTGGTAAAAGTACTGTCCAGTCCTTTTTAAGTTGGTGGCTGAGCTTGGTGAGGTGTGTTTTTAAAAGACTATTAGTTTGAAGACTTTTCTGGAGACTGAGGACTGTAAGGGATATAAAGGTTTCACTGAATACTAAGAGCCTGAAAAAATGCTTGGCTGATTTGACTAACAAAGGCCGGTCTGCTATCGGACTGTATAGAGGTGGGAAGGCCAAACCGAGGAATTATGTCTGACAGAAGGGAAGAAATGACCGTGGTGGCCTTCTTAGATCCTGTGGGAAAGGCCTCTACTTATCCAGTGAAAGTGTCTACCTAGACCAAGAGGTATTTTAGTTTCCTGACTCAGGGCATGTTAAGTAAAGCTAATTTGCCAGTCCTGGGTGGGGGCAAATCTCTGAGCTTGATGTGTAGGGAAGGGAGGGGGCCTGAATAATCCCTGAGGAGTAATAGAATAGCAGATGGAACACTGAGAAGTTATTTCCTTGAGGATAGATTTCCATGATGGAAAGGAAATGAGAGGTTCTAAGAGGCAGGCTAGTGGCTTGTACTATAGCATAGCCTGCCTTTGCTGGTGTGTGGCGATTAGGCCTGGTGGAACTGCCATCAATAAACTAAGTGTCATCAGGGTGAGAAACAGGGAAGAAGGAAATGTGGGGAAATGGGGTGAACGTCAGGTGGATCAGAGAGATGCAGTCATGAGGGTCAGGTGTGGTATCAGGAATAATGTGGGAGGCCGGATTGAAGTCTGGGCCAAGAACAGTGGTAATTGTAGGAGACTTAACAAAGAGTGAGTACAGCTGAAGGAGCTGGGGAGCAGAAAGTATATGCGTCAGGTGTGAGGAACAAAATAGATTTTGGAAATGATGAGAGCCGTAGAGAGTGAGTTGAGCATAGTTTGTGATTTTAAGGGACTCTAAAAGTATTAGGGTGGCAGCAGCCACTGCACGGAGACATGATGGCCAGCTTAAAACAGTAATGTCAAGTTGTTTGGACAAAAAGGCTACAGGACGCGATCCTGGTCCTTGTGTAAGAATTCTGACTGCACAGCCTTGCACTTCGGCTGTGTGTAATGAAAAGGGTTGGGATAAGTCAGGGAGAGCTAGGGTTGGGGCAGTCTTTAAAGCTGTCTTCAAGGAACAGAAAGAGGAGTAGGGAAAGACTTAGGATCTATGGAGTCAGCTAGGTTTCTTTTTGTGAGTTTATATAATGATTTTGTTAGGATGGCAAATCTAGGCATTTAAAGGCGAAAGTATCTAACTATGCCTAGGATGTAGCAGGTGTTGGGGTTTGAGAGATCAGTCAGACATGATCAGCAGGGAGAGCACGTGTGTTTTTATGAGAATTACGCCGAGGTAGGTAACGGATGGAGAAGAAATTTGAGCTTTGGAGGGGGATACTTGATATCCTTCAGAGAATAAATGCTGAAGGAGCAGAAGTGTGTCTTGTTGAGAAGATTCAAAGGAGGGGCTACAAAGAAAAAGGTCATCAATATATTGAATAAGGTGAGAAGCGGAGGGATGGAAAGAAAGTAAATCATGAGAAAGAGCTTGGCTGAAGTAATGAGGGCTGTCCTTGAAACTTCGCGGCAGCACAGCCTAGGTAAGCTGCTGGGACTGTTGGGTGTCAGGGTCAGTCCAGGTGAAAGCAAAGAGAGGCTGGGACAAGGGGTGCAGGGGAATAGTGAAAAAAGCATCTTTAAGATCAAGAATGGAATAGTGAGTTGTGGAGGAAGGTATTGAGGACAAAAGAGTGTACGGGTTGGGCACCACAGGGTGGATAGGCAAAACAATTTGGTTGATAAGGTGCAGATCTTGAACCAATCTGTAAGACTTGTCCGGATTTTGGACAGGTAAAATGGGAGAATTGTAAGGAGAGTTTATAGGTTTTAGAAGTCCACGCTGTAGCAGGCGAGTGATAACAGGCTTTAATTCTTTTAAAGTGTGCTGTGGGATGGGATATTGGCGTTAAGCCGGGTAAGAGTGATTAGGTTTTAATGGGATGGTAATGGGCATGTGATCGGTTGCCAGGGAAGGAGTAGAGATGTCCTATACTTGTGGGTTAAGGTGGCGGGATACGAGAGGAAGACGCAAAGGAGGCTTTGGGTTGGGGAGAAGGGCGGCAATGAGATGCGGCTGTAGTTCAGGAATAGTCAGGGAAGCAGATAATTTAGTTAAAGTGTCTTGGCCTAATAAGGGAACTGGGCAGGTGGGGACAACTAAAAAGGAGTGCTTAAAAAAGTATTGCCTAAGTTGGCAACAGAGTTGGGGAGTTTTAAGAGGTTTAGAAGCCTGGCCGTCAATACCCACAACAGTTATGGAGGCAGGGAATCAGGCCTTTGAAAAGAAGGTAATGTGGAGTGGGTAGCCTCCGTATTGATTAAGAAGGGGACGGACTTACCTTCCACTGTGAGAGTTGCTTAAAGCTCGGCGTCCGTGATGGTCTACGGGGCTTCTGAGGCGATCGGGCAGCGTCAGTCTTCAGCCGCTAAGCTGAGAAGATCTGAGAAGGAGTCAGTCAGAGAGCCTTGGGCCAGAGTTCTAGGAGCTCCAGGAGTGGCTACCAGGTGAGTTGAACAGTCCGATTTCTAGTGGGGTCCTGCACAGATGGGACACGGCTTAGGAGGAATCCTGGGCTGCCGGCATTCCTTGGCCTAGTGGCTAGATTTCTGGCACTTGTAGCAAGCTCCTGGGGGAGGTGGTTCTGGAGGAACGCCTGGCCACTGCGGTTTAGGCGTTTGGAAGTTTTTGTGTGCTGGAAATGTGGCTGGGGTTTGTCTCACAGTGGAGGCAAGGAATTGCAACTCAGAAATATGTTGCTATTTGGCTGCCTCTACTTTATTATTGTACACCTTGAAGGCGAGGTTAATTAAGTCCTGTTGTGGGGTCTGAGGGCCGGAATTTAATTTTTGGAGTTTTATTTAATGTTGGGAGCAGATTGGGTAACAAAATATATACTGAGAGTAAGACGGCCTTTTGACCTTTTAGGGTCTAGGACTGTAAAGCGTTTTAGGGTTGCTGCCAAATGAGCCATGAACTGGGCTGGATTTTTATACTTGATGAAAAAGAGCCTAAACGCTATCTGATTTGGGATAAAGAAAAAGGAGTATTAACTTTGACTATGCCTTTAGCTCCAGCCACCTTTTTAAGAGTAAATTGCTGGGCAGGTTGGGGAGGGCTAGTCACAGAACGAAACTGTAAGCTGGACCTGGTGTGAGAAGGGGAGGTGATAAAAGGATTATAGGGTGGAGGAGCGGAGGCCAAGGAAGAATTGGGACCTAGCTCAGCCTAGCAAGGAGGGGAGAGGTCAGATGGGTCTGTAGAAAAGGAAGATTAGAAAGACTCAGGGACGCTTGGGGTTGGGACTGAGGGGACAGGTGGGAGGGAAAGAAGGAAGATTTGGGACGAGTTGCATTGGGAGCAGACTAGGGAGGGACTGATGTGTAAAAGAATGCCTGGACGTCAGGCACCTCAGACCGTTTGCCTATTTTACAAGAATTATTTAGATCGTGTAGGATGGAAAAATTGAAAGTGCCGGTTTCCCGCTATTTGGAACTACTGTCGAGTTTGTATTGGGGTTAAGCGGCATTGCAGAAGAAAATAAGATGCTTAGATTTTACGTCAGGTGAGAGTTGAAGAGGTTTTAAGTTCTTAAGAACACAGGCTAAGGGAGAAGACGGAGGAATGGAAGGTGGAAGCTTGCCCATAGTGAAGGAGGCAAGCCCAGAGAAAAGAGTAGAGACACGGAGAAGGGGTTGGGGGTTCTTGCCCTCCAGAAAAGCAGAGAAGGGGTCAGGGTGTGGAAATAAGGGGTTGGGGCACAGAGATAAGAGGTTGGGGCATGAAAATAAGGGTTCCCGCCCCTCCTCTAGAAAAGCAGGACTTGCTGCTAAGGGTGATGGAGAAGGGGTTGAGAGGTTCTTGCCCCTCCTCCAGAAGAGCGGAGAAGGGGTAGAGACATGGAGAGAAGGGATTGGGATTCTTGCCTCTACCCCAGAAAAGTGGGACTTGCCGCTAAGGGTGAAGGACCAAGGCAGGCGTCCTTGCGTGGTCTGATACCTCTCAAACCTCGGTGAATAATAAGAGAGGTGTCCCTGCAATGATTAAACACCAAGGGAAGGCTGCCTTCCCTAGTCTGTGACTAGCGCCGGAGTTTTGGGTCCATGGATAAAACGTGTCTCCTTTGTCTCTACCAGAAAATGAAAGGAATTGAAATTAAGAGAAGGGAGAGATTGAAGTGTGGTGCCAAGATTGAAAGGAGAAAGAGGTTGAGGGATAATGAGGGAGGTTGGAGAAGAGAGTAAAAAGAGGTCGCTTACCGGATTTGAAATTGGTGAGATGTTTCTTGGGCTGGTCGGTCTGAGGACCTGAGGTTGTAGGTGGATCTTTCTTATGGAGCAAAGAGCAAAGACCTCCCAAGGGAGGTCTCCTGATCTGAGTCATGGCACCAAATTTCACTCGCGTCTGTGTGAAGAGACCACCAAACAGGCTTTGTGTGAGCAATAAAGATGTTAATTTCACCTGGGTGCAGGCGGGCTGAGTCCAAAAAGAGAGTCAGCGAAGGGAGATAGGGGTGGGGCCGTTTTATAAGATTTGGGTAGGTAAAGGGAAATTACAGTCAAAGGGGGGTTGTTCTCTGGTGGGCAGGAGTGGGGGTCACAAGGTGCTTAGTAGGGGAGCTTTTGAGCCAGGATGAGCCAGGAGAAGGAATTTCACAAGATAATGTCATCAGTTAAGGCAGGAACAGGCCATTTTCACTTCTTTTGTGGTGGAATGTCATCAGTTAAGGCAGGAACTGGCTATCTGGATGTGTACGTGCAGGTCACAGGGGATATGATGGATTAGCTTGGGCTCAGAGGCCTAACACTGACCTCAAGTGATCCACCTGCTGTGGCCTCCCAAAGAGCTGAGATTCCAGGCATGAGCCATTGCGCCTGGCATCAGTTTTTTAAAATCACAAGATGTGGGTTTGTGATGGTTACTGTTGTCAACTTGATTGGATTGAAGGATGCAAAGTATTCTTCCTGGATGTGTCTGTGAGGGTGTTGCCAAAGGAGATTAACATTTGAATCAGTGGACTGGGAAAGGCAGACCCACCCTTAATCTGGCTGGGCACCATCTTATCAGCTACCACCATGACCAGAATAAGAGCAGGTGGAAGAACGTGGAAACATTAGATTGGTTTAGTCTTCAGGTCTACATCTTTCTCCTGTACCGGATGCTTTCCGCCATCGAACATGGCAGAAAGCTGAAGTTCTTTAGCTTTGGGACTCAGACTGGCTTCCTTGCTCCTCAGCTTGCAGATAGCCTGTTGTGGGACCTCACCTTGTAATCATGTGAGTCAATACTCCTTAATAAACTTCCCTTCATATATGCATCTATCCTATTAGTTCTGTCCCTCTAGAGAACCCTGACTAATACAGGGTTCTATTCATGTTTTAGAGAGAAGGTAATTAAGATTTAGAGGGCTTGGGTAATTGTCAGATTTACAAAGGGTATCCAGGCCAAGTAATTTCAGACCCCATACTTTAATCTCTATAGCTTAGTGCTTGAAAAATTGAGTGAATGAGTGAATGAATGAGCAAGTAGTACTACGGAGATTGAAAAACATAGCATGAAATGCATGTTGCTTACCTTTACAGTAGGAGCTACTAGGCCCATTTTTGCACTAAGAATTATAAATTTATCATCAGTGAACCTCTTCTCAGAGGCTTCTGTAACTTCTACCATAACTTACCCAGCTGGGATTAATAAGGTCTCCCACTATGTTCTCATCAATTCATGCCTACACCTCTGTTGGTGTGCATATAATGTTGCTGAATTGAATGATCAATATTGGTCCAAACTTCTGTCTTTCCCTCACCCAACAATGAGCTCCTGGAGGATAAAAAATATGTTTCATTGCTCTATGTCGCTGCTGCAGTATCCAACCTGATGTTTGATATAGAATAAGCCTATGGTGTTTGTTTCTGAAATAGATGAATTAGTAAATAGCTCTAAGAAGACTTAACACCCCGATTTAGTTTAGGAGTAGATACATTATGGCTACTATGATGCATAGATATTTCTGCTCATATTTCCACTCAGTGAGCTTGTACCCCAGAGTGAATGTGGGTTGAAAGCTGTGATTCTGGTGCTCCTACGTCTCCAAGTTACCATGCGACTCTCCTACTGGGAACATATTGACATGTTGATCTAGAGTTCAAGTCATAGTTTACATTTTTTATACAACACAGCCTCTAAGCACATAATGACTTTCTCCAGGGCTCAACTGAAGCCACTAGTGATGTATTCTAACACTAGAGAAAAACCTGGGTTTGCTGGGCTTTTAGAATTATTGAAGAATTACATAAAACTTTTTGGGCTATTTAAGGGATTTTTAAAAGTATTTTTTTATGATACACAGTTCTAACCAAAAAGCAAACACTGGAAACTAAATTTCAAATAAAATATGACTCTACTCCTATTAAGTGGTGGGAGTGGGGGTGGGCAAAGTATTCATGTCATTACTTAAGGGGGAGTTGAAATTCCAACTTGACTTCCACATTTTTTCTTGTTTTATAATTTGTGAAAATATCAGGCAATCAAAAGATTTTCATGAATGTATCTTCCCTTGGTTGTGTGATTGGTATGTTCTCTCTGCTGTATAGACTAGTGCTAGCTGCCTAGGCCAAGCTAATATTACTGAGACAAATCAGGCAGGGCTGGCAATGCTATGGGAGTGTGTATAAGATGGATAAGATAGCAAAGCTCACACTATAAGGAAAAGCAAAAATAAGGGGTGATGACTGGGGATAGTGATCAGGGCTTAAGTCAATACCAGGATAGCAAAATCTTCAAAGTCATCCAGATTCTAGATTCCATAAGTAAAAGTCAGAATCTGGGGTGGGGTTGGGGTGGGATAGGAGAGGACCCAGGGTCAAAGTTGATAGCAGCATGTCAGCGTATAAACCATATGAGCTTTGGTGAAGACCCAGTCAATTCAGAATGGTTTCCTCGGAAAATATTTATATAAATTAAATATAGATGTCTCACCTTTAGACCTGTCCCCAGTAGATAAGACATAAAAGAGCCCAGTAAGAACAGCTCTCTGTCATCTCACTCTCCACCTCAAACCACTACAAGTTTAACTCCAGAAGACCAGAAAATGGGGATATGGCTCAGTGGTGGAGCATTTGACTGCAGAAGACCAGAAAACGATGTGAATCTTTACAATCTTTTCTTAAAGAGCTAGTCCAGGAGTTTACACAGTAGTATATCATTGAGCAAAATATGTTAAAATTTTTCTTCAATCTTACAACTATCCAAAGACATGAAAAAAGTTCTCTTCTTTCTGTTTCTAGTTCACTTTCTGATTCTCCCTCAATCTCTGACCCTCTCCCTGTGTTCCTCCCTCCCCCATCTTCCTTTCCTCAGTCAAGACAATGCTCCTATTTTCCTATTCTGGGAACATTACTTCTACTTCATAAACCAGACCAGGATTCTGGTGGAATAGTGTTATCTCTCTCCTGGCAGATACCTGCATTAGCACGCTCTCTGTCTCTCTTTTTTTTTTTTTTTAAGACTCAGTGAAGTCCTAATTGCATCTCTTTTAAAGTGTATTTCTTCAAAGTTACCCAGACACTGAAAAATTGTATGAAGGAAAGAATTTCCAAAGGGAAGCCTTGTAACCTGAAATAACCTTTCACAAGTGATGGTTGCTTCATCAAAGATCAGCTGTTGACCAACTTGGACAAGGCTAGGCTTTGCAAAGTCCCCAACACCAGTGAAGTCATCCAGAGTCAGATTGTCCAAAGATAATGCGTATAGGTGCTGCTTAAGCGTTTGTGGTTGCAGTTACATTCTGCCCAGTGCCCAGTTATAAGACAATAATGAAGTGTCTAAAGTATGGCTAAAAGGCAGTGGTGATGGTTCCAGGACACTTTTATTATCTATGGAAGCGTCTTCAATTTCTTCTTTGGAGCCAAAGATTATTTTTAACATGAGAATGAACTAATTAAGTGGTTAAATTCAGAATAAATGACACAGATTCATATAGGTTTTCAGAGAATACTCTGGGAAATATTCTGTCACTTTGCTGAAATTGGGATATTCAAATGATATTAATGACATTTCAAGTGGGAAATACATGCATTTAGAAAAATAATTTGACAATATCTACTCAGTCTTAAAAATGATCATTAATTTTATTTCTGAGCATTTATCCAATGCAATAAGCCTAAATATTGGACGAAACATTTATGGATCAAGACCCATTGCAAAGTTTTTTATAACAGAGATTAATTGGAAAAACTCAAAAGGACTAACTATTGTACTGAGAAAAAAATATATACAAATCATGACAATCATGGTCCATAGAATATTAGCAGTTAGTAACCTGGTGCTTGTTATTCCCATGTTACAATGTTCAATGAAAAAAGTAAGACCAAGTTATATGTATAATATGATGATGACTTTATAAAAAATACACAAAGGTATATAAAACTATAAATATTAAAAAGAGCAAAAGAAAAAAAAAAATCCAAGCTGTCAGTTGTGGTGGACTTGGGATGCTAAAAACTATACATTTCTCCCCATATTCTTTCTACTTTTTAACTCAACAATTTTTTCCATAAAGACCATGTATTTTAAAATAATAATAATAATAATAATAATAATAATGCTAGTAAAGATCAGTAAAAATATTTAAATACAATCCTAAGTGGAATGATTGTCTTGACTACTGAATCTCATTGCCATAGACTAATTTTTTTGTTTGTTTCGTTTTGGTTTTACTCTTGTAATGACACCTCAAAATGCAATTTCCAGCATCGTCAGCTGTGAGATTGTTGTAATCTCAAGGAATGCATGCTGGTCTTAACAACCATGGCAACAGACTTTGAAAAAAGTTAAATGGAATGTGTCTGATTAAGGATCTACCACAACTCGGTTCAATTTGAATCTTACTCTCCTGGTTGATGATGGAGTTCTGTTGCTAATTCTTGGGGAGATGCATTGTGGTGTTATTGGAAGAGAATTACCACTTACTCCCTGTCTGGCTTTTGGTGCCATTTATTTTCTTGAACCTCAATTTTCCTGTCTTTAAAACAAGAATAGTAATACCTATATCAGAGGGCTGTTGACTAGAGTGAATGAGGCAATTAATATACAGAAAAGCACCACACATACCTTAGTGAAGTAGTTCAATATGTGGAGAAATGCACCAGGTTTGATGTTAGGCAAACCTCTCTTTGATTCCTGGTTCAACAAGTTACTATCTCTTAGGTTTTCAGAAGATAACCCAACACTCCTCATCCTTAGTTGTTTCATTTGTAAAATGGAGATAATGATACTCAACTTGCAAAATTATTATGAGGCTTGAAAATCATATTTATGTAAAAATGTTTCATATGAAGCCTGTAGAATTAGTAGCCACTGTTAAGTATTTATCAAAAGCTGCTTAACCTATCTTCTCTGAATATGCTTCAACCCTTTTCATTTACTATACAGTCATGCATCATTATACAGACACGAATACATTCTGAGAAATGCATCATTAGATGATTCCATCATTGTTTGCACATGGTAAGAGTGTACTTAATGAACCTAGATGGTATAGCCTAGTATATACCTAAGCTATATGGTATAATCTATTGATCCTAGGCTACGAACCTGTAAAGCATGTTACTGCACTAAATACTACAGGCAGTTGTAACCTAAAGGTAAGTGTTTGTATAGCTAAACAGATCTAAACATAGAAAAGGTACAGTAAAAATAAGACATAAAAGATAAAAAATGGTATACCTGTATAGGGCACTTACCATAAATGGAGGTTGTGGGACTGGAAGTTCCTCTGGGTGAGTCAGTGAGTGAGTGGTAACTGAATGTGAAGGCCTAGGATGTCACTGTACACTACTGTAGACTTTATTAACACTGGACACTTGGGCTACACTAAATTTATTTTTTAAAATTATCTTCCTTCAAAAATAAATTAACCTTAGTCTATTGTAGCTTTTTTTACCTTATAAGCTTAATTTTTTTCAATCCTTTTGACTCTTTCATAATAACATTTAGATTAAACCACAAACACATTGTAGAGCTGTCAAAAATATTTTCTTTCTTTATATCCTTATTCTATAAGCATTCTCTTATTTTTAAAATTTCTAGTTATTTTTACTTTTTAGACATTTTTGTTAAAAATGAAGAAACAAACACACATTAGCCTATGCCTACACAGGGTCAGGATCATCAAAACGTCACTAGGTGATAGGAATTTTTCAGCTTTATTATGATCTTATGGGACCACCATTGTGTATGCAGTCTATCATTGAAGTGTCATTATGTGGCCCATGATTGTATTTGAATAATCAAGAAATCTTCATGACAGATTAAGGTTGCTGATAATAATGTTGCTGGATTCCAGTTTAATGGATTCTGGTAAGCAGGCTCTGTCAACATTATCCTTCCTTTTGGAGAACTTGCATTTCAAATTGATAAATTTGTGAGTAGAGTTTTAATGTTAATTTCTGCAGCTTGGTTATTTTGTTATATTTGAAGTTAACTATAGAAATTCTGGAATGAGAGCTTTTCTAGATTTAATAAGTTGGTTGTTTAAGGATTTTTGTTTATGCTTTGTGGAAAGTGCTTCTCATGGAAGCTACATCCTTGATTTCTAAGAGAGTTATGCAGCCTATTGATGATGTAGAGATTTTTCCTGAGTCATTAAAAATGACTATAACTTCACTTAAGTGCATTGGTTCATCATGGTCTTTTCAAACAGGATCATCCTAAAATATGCATATTAATAAATTCCAAAATTTGTAGTTTTGGAGAAAAAAGGATACCTCTGTGAAGCCAACAGATTTGCTTTTTCCAGGACAGTGATTTTATTTGTAAAATGTCAGTTTCTAAACAATACTTAATGGTTTGAAAATAAGTGCTGCACTAATAATTTGTTCATTTAATTTCATACCTTCACCTTGGGTGAAGCAGAATCTCTGAGAATTCTTACCACAGCCTATGGTGATTAGTTACTACTCTCTAACTGGAAGTTCTCTGGTTGGTTGAAGCTTGAATGAAAGCATCCTAGCACATGAGTTCTGTGAAGAAGGATGCTTGATAAGGACTCTTCACTATGGTTCCGAGTAACCATTTGAGCACAGGATATACTCAGTTTGAAGGGGATGTTGGGATTAATTTGCTTACCCAGAGAATAGGAAAATGGATTTGCAATGCATCTTGTTCAGTTTTCTCCATTTTAATAACTCATCCTATCATTCAAATGTAGGCAGGATTTGAAGCCATAGTAAGAAGCTCTGATCATGATTCCAACACTGAAATATATTACATTTGAGAACCATGTAACTACATAATTGCATCCTTGTCTGTAGTACATGCATAATGAAATCCCATAGCAGCAATAACAGTAGGAAATCTTAAGCATTTTCCTCTGGGGCTTCTCTTTATCTAGCATCCACCAGACCAGTCGGTGAATCCTAGATGGCCTGTTGGCTTCAGAACAAAGATTTTCATCCAACCAGAAGCAAATGTTCTATTTTGAAATTTGGACAGAAAGTTAGTGGTGTGAAAGTGTAAGTGAGGGAAGAATGACATCAACCTTTTTGACGAGCATTCCGGGGCTTCTCAAATGCTTTCCAGGTAGCAGAGAATATGAGGAGAGTCATACAGCTCATTTCAGAACACTACGAAATAATGATGTATTTCTTTCTGTTATATGCATTGGGGAGAACTTCACAATAAGGAATACTGATGAAAAATAATAATAATAAGTAATATTTATTGATAAATAAATCAGTGCCTGACACATACTACGTTCTCAAAGTGTTAGCTATTATTATTGTTTTTATTATTACATTTTTTGTCATTGTTCCTAATGGTGGAGTTGTTTCTAATGTATGTATGCACTTAATTCTCACTTTGACCCTGCGATATGGTGTTATAAATATCCTCAATTTACAAGTAGGACACCAAGGCTCTGAAGGATTAGATGATTTGCCTAAGGAAGGACACACAGCTTATGAGGGGCAAGGTAGAGGTGTGAATTCAGGGAGAATAGCTCCCAATCCTGGGCTTTCCCCTCCATGAATACTACTAGTTCATGAAAAACAAACAAATAAACCAAGGAAAACTAAGAGTACATACTGTTTCTCGTTTTCCCCATAGTGTTTATTTGCAATTTGTTTTGTTATCAACAAAGAAAACTTGTGTGAGAGGACTGAAAAATTTAGAGAAGAAAAACTCAAAATTGAGCAAATACTATTCGTGAATATCTTTTCTCAACAATTAGAAAAAGACCAGATTGTAGAGGCAGAACCCATCAGTCCAACTCAGGACAAACTGTTGGCTTGTGGTATCACCATTGGAGAGCTACTGGGAGATGAAAGAGTCTTGGGGTTGAGATAAAAACATCTGGGTTTAATACATATTTTGCTTTTTTTAATTGTTACATGACTCTAGGCACAGTAGACTAGGAAGAGACGGGACGACGGGATGAAGTGTCACCAGCACACACCATTTGGCAGTAGAAATGCTCTTCTTAAGAACACACACACTCCTCCCAGCTGGTTTTGGCTTATACTCTATCACTTATACCTTATCCACTCTCCTTATACTCTATCACGTATATCCTATCCACCTTATCTTATATAGCTACCAATCCCTGCACATAAACTTCCTATCTGAAGTCCCAGTCCCTTCATGAGGCCTCACTCGAACACATCAGTCTTTACTAAACTCTTGTTGCCTTGATAAATCCTATTTTGTAGGCAAGGACTTGGGAGGTTTTCAAGACATTTCATGTATAATAGTCATGGGTCTTCAGTTTGAAGGTAAAGATCTTGAGGTCTGGAACCAAGTCTTTTGCATCTCTTACGTTGCCTGGCAGAAGTCTCAGGATATGTTTGATGGCATTGAGTAAGAGAATTGAATAGGCATTGCCTTAATGCTTGTTCCACATTCATATCTGAAAGGGCTATTTTATGGTTTATATAACAGAAAAAAGTACTTTAAAAACCACAATCAACTGTTAAAGAGGGTAGTTTTTATTAAATGGAAGGTTGATAGGTTTGGCAAGTTTGACTCCTCAAATCAGAAAGTAGGAACTAGAGAGAGCTGACTCATTCTGAATGGTTGAGGAAGAGGAATTCAGAGTTGCAGAGAAAATCTAGGAGGTTGGTGGGAGGAGCAAGGGGAAAAAGGAACCAGGGGCCAGGCAGGAATTTAGGTATTCTGTGGGGCATGGATCACAAAACAAACCTCTCTAGAGGTAGGTGGTCTGAAAGAACCTTTGAAGACTAGAAATGTCTAACATGAGATTTTCAGTTGTTTGATCTGCAGTGTGCTCTCAGACTCCATTACCTGATTTTTTTTGTGTATATGTATGTGTGTACATGCATTTTTTGACTCTCGGTTTGTTTTGTTTTGGTGGAAATGGCGAAGGGGCTCAGTGTCATCTCTGGTTTCACATTTTGCAGGACAGATTCAAATGAAGAATCAGGATTCCAGGAGGCAGGGAAGAGCTTGGGCTCATAAACCCTCTGGGCATTTGCAAAATTCTTGGGAAAAGATTTGATGTTCTGTAAAATGTCAATATGGGATTCAAATCATATGTCTAGGTCTTGGAGATTGAGATTCAAGTGATAGCTAGGTTACATTTGATGAGACCACATTATGCCCTAGAAATAGTAGGAGAGGTCATGGGGTATAGTGAAAAGGAGGCCAATTTTCTAATGAGAGGATTTGGTTTGTATTTTGACTCTGCAACTTACTGTTCTGACCCTGTTTTATCATTTATAAAATACACCTACATTATTTATCATTTATAAAATATGCCTATAAAATATACCATCCAGGAGGTATGAAAATAAAGGCAAAATATGTAGCACAGTGTGTGTTTTGTGTGTGACACATGAATGGTTAATTATACTTTTGAAATACTGTATTGTTGATTCAACTCTCAAATACGTAGAACTTATCACTCAGCCGAGGCTAGATTATACCTAGTAACAAATAATTCCCACATTTTAGTGGTTTGTAGCGACAAAGGTTTACTTCTCACTTACTTTGTATGTTCATTATGAAGTGTCTGGTAACTGCTTTGTCTTGTTCCCATTCTGGAACCAGGCTGATCCTGATCAAGCAGCTGTTATCATTGGCCATCAAGATGGAAGGGAAAAAAAGCTTTGGAGTATCTGGAATAACATCTTGAAGGAAATATAATCTTACCATGTACCTGGAAAGCAGAAAGCTAGAATTATGTGTCAAACAGAGCTAAGGCTACCAAAATAATATGTTTATTCTTTATTGTTTCCCTGATCTCTTTATGAAGGATGGGCCATGAAGTTGTTGGACAAGTTTCTGAATGAGTGCTAGGAAGCTTCTTTAGAGCACTGTACCCTTCTGTGATCCATTGTCATCTGGTTCAAAGTAAAAGATTGCTTTCTATCTACCACAATGAATTTGAAGCAATAGATTTTAAACATCATTTAATTGAGTCAAAGATTTTGAAAGTACAAGTGCACAGTCTTTGATGCAAGTTCTGATGTGCTCAATTTTATGTCATCGGAGGCTAATTCTTATACCTTAATAGGAAGTAAGATGTTTTATATCCCAAGTCAAATTTGAGTAACTATTGGTAAAATCAAATCCCCAATATGTTGAGTAAAAAGCAACTCGGTACTTCTATGTCTCATTATGATAACTTACAAGCTAAAATATGTATCTGTATACATATATGTATGTATACTTTGAGAAGACAAGCATTTATAGAGGTAAATTTTATTTACGGTTCTCTGTGCCATTAAGTTATGAAGGTGTGGGAGTTGAGTTTATGGAAGGATCTTAGAAATACAGAGAGAGGCTAGACATGGTCCTTTAACTTTTCCTACCTGCCTAAAATTCTCATCAGCCATGCTGATTTTTTTTCCCTTCTCCTCAAATGCCATATGTCTCTAGTAATACAGAGACATAGACTAATTCATTTTCTCTACCTAGAAAATACTTGTTCCTCAATCACTTAGCTCAAATTTTATGTTTTATATGAAGCTCTCTACATTCTGACAAAGAGACCAAACTGCTCCCTCCTTTGTAATTCCAAAGCATTTTGATGGTGATTCTTTCATAGCACTTAGCACATTGCATTGTAATGGCCTGTCCCTCTCCCCTAGTAAATTCTGTACCACTAGAACCAAGCATAATTCCCGGTACATGGTGGATACTGCATGAAAAAATGAAAGACATGAAGCTAGGGCTTGAAACCATTTAATCATGTATGCAGATCACATTACATTTTTTCACAATGATTGTGATTGATTTGGCAGTAGAAATGCTCTTCTTAAGATAAAGGCATGGCCATCTCTGAGCCTTCTCTGTTCACAGGTTCTAAGAATGTTAAGATCCTCACAATAATATATGAAGTGCCTTACAAAGACACTCGTACTTTGAGGACACTATTCACTTATTCACTATTCTATTGCTAGTGCCTAGAAATAATATCTGATTTATAATAGGGAAGCAATAAACATGTGACGAATGAATAAGTGAAATACCCTTAGAAGACATTTTAGCCAGCATGTGTCAGGCAGAAGGAATAGGACACTGGAATAGGACAAATATATTGAGATGTTAGGAGAGAAAAGGAAAAGTCTGCAGAGCAGGGACGATTTGGGGTAGGCATATCTGTTTGTCATAGTAATAAGTACTATGCAGTCCATGGCTTAAATGATACTTATGTGTATTGAAAGGTATAGGTGACTTTGAACCACAGCCTACTTGCTTTGCCACCATTTGTGTGGCCATCATCAAAACTCTTGGGGTTTCCAGAGTCCGGATTATAATGTTTTTTCTTATTTAGAATAATGCAAATAAAACCATAAACTTTCTTAATAAATTTAGATCCAGGACCTTCAAGTCTGGCAAGGGACAGGGAAGCCCATGTAGGGAAGGCTGGCAGAACCTGGTTGTCATGACTGTAGCGTTGCTAAGATGTTCTTTTCACTATATATTTCTTTGCCACCATCACTCAGCCTGATCCTCTATTAACATGTTCGTCAAAGTATACACACACATTAATTCACTGCAATGGTATAAATAAAGTGCATAAAGACATATTTCTTCCATCAGACATCCTGGGTTCCCATCTTGCTTTTTAACTATGACAAAAATCACTTTTCTGAGCTTCAGTTTTCTTAGGTGTACAATAGGGAAAATAATAGCGTTAGGGACTGAATATGGCACCCCTGACCAATGCCAATCCATGTGTTGAAGCCCTGACCTTCACTGTGACTTTAAGGAGATAATGAAGGTTAAATGAGGTCATAGGGGTGGGGCCCTAATATGATGGGATTGGTGTCCTTATAAGAACAGGAAGAGACACTAGAGAGCTTGCCCTCCTAGCAGGAGCAGAGAGGAAAGGCCAGGTTAGGACATAGCAGGAAGGTGGCCATCTATAAGCTAAGAAGAAAGCCCTTCTCAGAAACTGAATTTGTTGGCACTCTCTAGACTCTGGAAGTGTAAGAAGATAAATGTCTATTTTCAATCTGTAGTATTTTGTTATGGCAGCCTAATACTAATACTAGCAAACTAATACTCATAGTGTCTAATAAAGCTTTTGCGAAGACTAGGTGAATGCTGAACAAATGTGACTTATTTGTTGTACTAGTATTCAACCAGCTGAAAAGAGGATGATTCACAAACAAGACTTTACTGGAAGTTCAGAGATAACCAAAATAACATAGTAACGTACAAATAGGCACCTGGTCTATAAGACATCATTTACTCATCTCTAGCCGGGGGCCTGCAAAAGGATGTTTTCATGAGCTAAAGTCCTGTTGTCCATACTATAGAGCTATGCTCACATGGTCTCATCTCCAGATTCCAGAACCAAGACACTGAGATGCATGGAGAGAAGGGTGTGTCTTCTACCGAAGGCCTGCCTTATAAATTCCAGTTTTCTGTTTCTGTTTGCTTACAGGATGACTGACTATTGAGGTGTCAATGGCAGACTCTTTCACCATCGTTTAAGACTTTACCCTATGGCTCTTACTGAAGACATCAAAATAAGCCCATGAGTCATCGAAGAAATACATATATAGCATAATGGTGGACAGAGATGTCCTTTGTTACCTTCTTTTTTAACTATATGAAGAAAAGGTAGCTTTTTAATTTTTCAAACAGCATTATTGAGATATAATCCACATAGCATACAATTCACCCATCCAAGTGTGACATGCAATAGTCTTTTGTATATTCACAGATATATGCAACCATCAGCAGGGTCTTTTTATTTTTAATGTTTATCAAAGTCTGGGTTTGCCATCCTTATATAGCCCCATGCATAAGATATTGGTACATCAATCTGGGGAGTTTCACTAGTCCCAGTCAGCTCATCTTTATGGTTCTTTCTCCAATCTAAGAGGGAAATGTCACAGTGGCTTCTCTTATATTCCTTTGGGAGTTGGTTCTAGACTCTGTTGTGAGCATGACCCCGTGAGAACAAACACATCCCCATGAGGACAACAACAGTCAAATGCTGCTTGAGCTATTAAAAAAAATGTACTCCAAGGAAGCAGTCACCATGGCACACATCTGCTGGAAATTCAGAATTCCCTTGGAAAGCTAGTTGGTATCAGCTCTTTCTTTGGATTTTCTTGCATTTGTAGACTTCTGTCTTAAGCCCTGCAGTAAGACTTTATAATTCCTGCCTCTTTTTGCATCTGGGACCATCCCAACTCTTGTCTGGGAAACCAGCTCCAGAGAAGAAACACTTGTAAAGAAATAGCAGAAGGACTGCAGAAACGCAGCTCAGCCTAAAGATGCCCCAAATTTACATTATTGCACAAAACAGGATAGATGATTGCTTAGATCATAGAAATCAGTTTTGCTTTTAAAACTTAACAACCTTTAAGTATCTCCATTTTATATGCTGGCTAATAAAGCCACTGCAAAATGGGTTTCCAAGAACAGTACTCAGGTATTTGCATTACATTTGCACAAACATATCAGCTTTCGTGGGCTGCTCTGCCAGAGGAAAGGGAAACACTGCAAATTTATTCACACATTTACCTCTCACAAGACAGACAGCTACTTACAGATTTGGAGTATCTCGTTCTTCCAACATGTACCATTCTATCAATGCCTCACAGCCTTAGCGCCCAGTCTCAGCCAAGGCTACACTCAAGGTTCCTGGTGCTTTCCCTCATCCTGGCAGTGCCATCAAGGTTAAACTTTCTCCCAAACATGTAGTTTTCTAGTTCAGATTCTTGATATTTGACAATTTTAGAAGATTTTCTTTCATTCTAATTTCCAAAGGTTCTCAGTCAAGGTTTCTTTTTCCCATAAATGTTCTCGGCCATCCAAGGAAGCAGTTGTTCACATTTCCTTGTTATTCACTCTCTTGAGGACTAAATGCATCCTGAAAGTTTTCTGAACCTCTGGGTCACAGGGCTGATCTTATTCCCAGTTTCTCAACACCCACTCAAGGATCCACTGCTCTTCTCCTTCTTTTCTTTGCAAGATATGACCAAATGACTAAAGTACTCTAGACATAGAGCCATACATTTGGGTGGGAATTCTGGAGCTTCCACTTATAAGTTGGCTAATTTTGGGGAAAATTATCTTCTGAGTTTTATTGTATTGCTTACACAATGGGAAGGATAACATCTACCAGACAGAGTTATTGTAAGGCTTAAATTAATGAACATGGAGTTAAGAACCTGACACAGTCCAGCACTGTCCAACAAAACCTGGATCCCACTTGTAAAGCTGTGTGTCACTTTATACAAACGAAACAGTAGAACAGGGTATCTTGCTTGCAAGAAAGACATGCACGTCAGAAATCTATTTATTAACAAGAGTCAAAAATAAACTATGCTGACATTATCATTTTGTCTAGGGCTTGGTAGGGGAGACTTTTAAGGGTCTTGGTTTCAGTGAGAAGTTTTGTTATTGTGATGGTTGTTTCTATATTTTATGACACGACCATGAGACACTATATTTTCCTGTCTCATATGGGAAGCAGTGGACTGGGACATCTTGGAGTGAACGAGCTATATCATGTGCCCTCTTGCCGTCCGTTCTCCTGAAGTTGTTTCCTACTGTTCTTCCCGGCTTTCTTCACTCCAAGGCTCTCTGGCTGCCTTGTACCTCCCTGACTGTGCAGAGCATGCTTGCACTTGTCTCCTCTGGAATGTTCTTTTCAGGTCTCTGCTCGAATGTTACCATATTTCTGAGACCTTCCCTGGCCACCTTGTATAAAATCACAGCCCCTGACATGCCGACTCTTGTGTGACATATTAGATATTTACTTCCTCACATTGTCTCCCTGTATCCATGAGGGTGGGAACTTTACCTATTTTATTGATTGCTGTGTCGCCAGCATGCAGAGCAGTGTCTGGAACATTGTAGGAACTTATGGCACAAGTATTAAAAGAATAAGTGGATATTCTTCATATTATTATAATCATGAATATTATGATAAAGAAAGCGTTTCCTGGAGAGGTTGTATGATGTCTGCCTCTTTTAAGCTCACCCCGAATTTGGTCATATCTGGCTTACCTAACCAACCCTGCCTCTTGGAAGCCCTTGGCCTGATCCCATTTTTCTATTGCCTACTATATTATCCACTTTTTTCACGTGGAAAACAACGGAATTGGCATGTCTTGCAGTGAGAAAGCTACTTGAAGTGACCTTGCTGCTGTGTTCCTCCCAGCCTGCCTTCTCAAGTGGTTTGCTAGAAGCCAGCTTTACAACCCAATGTATTGCTAGATGACTTGGTTCTCCTTGTTGCAAAGAGTGCCAGTGTCACCGGGAAAGGTGAAACTCAGAGCTTAGACAGTAATTCATTCTTGCTTACTTAGCACACATTTATAAAGTGCTCAGTGTTTGCCGGAATCTGTTAAATGGAGTGGACACAAACAAGAGCAGCCCCAGTGGAACAGCCAGTGAAGTCTGTGGCTAGCCTATGATGTGGGACACAACACAGGGGTGCCCTCAGGGGCCTTAAGATTGCAGAGAAAGAATCCCCACTTTGCCTAAATTCCTGTTTGTTTGTTAGAACTGGGCCAATCATGCTATGCCTGGTTATGAAAGTGAGTCATCCATGCTGTTGAAATAAACAGGCAACATCAAAATGCTGAAGATAGTCAAATGTAATAGATTTTTCATAAGACATGTTGAAGATACGCCACTGGGGTGGCTTCCAGTGGTTTCCAGAGATTATTCAAGGTTTCTTCATGCCTTATAGAAGTGGCCAGTTGTTTGTTTGTTTTTGTCATAGCCCTATGGCCCTTTAAAATGCTCATTATACTCAGGAATTAGGCTGTCTCACTGAATCTGATAAGGGTCTTCACAGAGTTTGTATCAGAACACGTGCTATGTCCAGAAAGACAAAGTCATATGAGTGTCTTCAGAGGCCAAGAAGTGAAATACTAATCCTGATTTTTGTGCCAAAGACTAAAAATAATTCAAGCCCAGAGCACAGTGTATCACAGAGGTCTCATCAGCTGAGAAATCTTATTTTCCTTCAAAGTCCCGTGCTTTTCATATGCCTCCTTTATTTAAGTTCATTGGTTTATACTTCATGGAGGCAAGATCAAATACTGCACTTCTCGGTTCCTAAACTAGAGACATTATTATACCCTCATTCACCTAAGGAAAACACACAGTCTTGGAGAAGTTTCCCTTTCGGAGTTAATAAACAGGTTTTGATATCATGCTTCTGAGGAGACTGGGCTCAGATTTTACCTAACCACATTTCAGAGGCTCTTTGGGACTGCGAGATTAAAGCGGACAGCCAGGAGTTTCCTTAAACATGTTAGGTCTTACATATGGTTCTAACTATGGTCATGGTTTCAAGGGACTATGAGATAGACCTCACAAAGAATTGTTCTTGTGTCCGTGTTAGAAATTGGCTGTAGCTAGCTTGGCTTACAGACATACTTAATATTTTGAAAGTTTGAAACACTTTGAAGTTACTTTCAAAACTTCTGCTTCTTCTCCCTATTCTTTCTGACTTTCTCTTCCCACCCAAGAGTCAGAGCTGGATGTGAATTTCTTTGAGAGGGGTGGCTTGATCCTTATCTCTGCCACTCACATGCAAGGGAGGAACTCACAATATTATGAGGTGCTTACCTGTTACCAGGTTTATAAACAATCCCAAACATGGTGACTCTGTCTCCACAGGGCTCAACCTTGCCCAGTGCAGGTCCTGAAGCTCATGGCCTTAGTCCCACCCATTCACAGACTTGGCCCTTTGTCTGGGGCTCCTCCCCGTTAGAAGGTGAGGTAAGATATGTATCCTGCTGCTGTCATTGTCATCTCTGTTTTCGGAAGGCCTGGGCCAAGCCCAAGTACTGGCAGGCCTGTATGTTAGCTTGGAACCCTGCCCGGCTTGGCTTTTTGATTATGCTGCACTTCTAACACATGCAAGCTGGATTCTTGGCTTGGTCTGTTTGTGCTGCTGTAACAAAATACCTGGCCAGGCATGGTGGCTCATGCCTGTAATCCCAGGACTTTGGGAGGCTGAGGCGGGTAGATCACATGAAGTCAGTTCGAGACCAGCCTGGCCAACATGGTGAAACCCTGTCTCTACTAAAAATACAGAAATTAGCTAGCGGGGCATGGTGGTGGGGACCTGTAATCCCAGCTGCTCGGGAGGTTGAGGGAGGAGAATCACTTGAACCTGGGAGGCAGAGGGTGCAGTGAGCCAAGATCGTGCCATTGCACACCAGCCTGGGCAACAAAAGAGTGAAACTCCATCTCAAAAACAAAAACAAACAACAACAACAACAAAAACACACACACATCTTAGCCTGGGCGATTTATCAAGAACAGAAATTTATTTCTCACAGTTCTGGAAGCTGGAAGCCCAAGATCAAGGTGCCAGCAGGTTCAGTGTCTGGTGAGGGCCTGGTCTCTACTTCCAAGATGGCACCTTGAATGCTGCATCCTCTGGAGGGGATGAATGCTGTGTCAAAAAAAGCTGAATGCTGTGTTAAGGCTCATTTATAAAGGCCTTAATCCCACTCATGAAAGAGAAGCCCTTATGACCAAATCACCACCTGAAGGCCCTACTCTTAAATGCTGTTGTATTGGAGATTAAGTTTCAACATGAATTTTGGAGGGGACACAAATATTCAAACTATAGCAGCCTCTGAGTCCAACCCATTGGCTGGGACACTTGCTGGCCTAAATGAACATGGTCCAACAGAAATGTAGTGTGAGCCAGGCTTATGGGCCCTGGGCCACACATGTAACTTTTAATTTTTCTAGTAGCCTCATTAAAAAATGGAAAAAGAAACAGGTGAAATTAATTTGGCGGTGGTAGGGAGAAAATGGGGAGATATGGGTCAGAGGATACAAAGAGGCAGATATGTAGGATGAACAGTTCTAGAGATCTAATGCACCACATAAGGATGATAGGTAATAAAATTGTTCTGTATTTGGAAATTCGGCTAGATGAATAGATTTTAGCAGCTCTTGCCAGAAAAAAAGGGTAACGATGTGAGCTGATGGATATATTAATTTGCTTTACTATAGTGACCATTTTACTATATATATGTATCCCAATAACATCATGTTATATACCACAAATATACACAATAAAATTTATTTAAACATAATTTTAATAATATATTTTATTTAACCCAATATAACCAAAGTACTATCACTTCAATATGTAGGCAGTATAAGAAAGATTACTGAAATATTTAACTTTTTGTACACTAAGTCCTTCAAATCCAGTGGATTTTACACTTCACATCTCAATGTGGAACCACTTGTGACTAGCAGCTACCGTATTGGACAATGCAGGCCCTGACCCAATTCTGCTTAATTTGGACGTTGTTGTAACCTGGTTGTGGAGCTACCATTTTCTGTGAGGGCACCTCTGATGGGAGGTTACTGTCTACCAGCCAAGACCCCTTCTTCCCCTGGAGACTGAAATCAGTCTGGAAAGAGCATTACTTATAGTTTACCATTGACCAGGCCATGTGCTAAGAACTTTACAAGCAGTATCTCTTTCTAACCGCAGAACAATTTGGAGGTTCTTTTATTACTTCTAAGGCATGGCATAAGAGGTTATGTAAATTGCCCAAGGTCAGAAAGTCGCTAAGGGGCAATACCAGAATTCCAAACCAGTTTTATCTGACTTTGGAGTCTGAGGTCTTCCCTGCTGTCCTGTAGTCCCTCTCTTGCCACTTTGAACATTAGGATTTGGATGGCTGCTCTCTCCCTTGGAACCTGTCCCACCGCTGGGTCAGCCCTTCTCTCCCAGCCATACCTGTCCTTGTTTACTCACCTTTCTCAGTTGCCTCAGCATGGACATCGCAGCAGGCCCTGCAGCTAAGTCTGCATTGGTTACGGTGGTGACAAGCCTCTGTAATACGGGGTCCTAAAAAACACAGATCTATGTGAATATATGTAAGGCACACTTCCCTCTTCACCGCTTAGAAAAGCTGGTACCCTGCGTTTCTGGCAGGCTTATAGTTAATGAACACAGGAATATGGAATAGAAAGCACACCCAAAGACGGTTGCTTGGCTAATGGAGACATACTGCACGTCTCAGGAGCTTGTCTCAGGTCTCCAGGGATGGGGAGCCTCTTGTGTTAAACAGCTGGTTTAGCACATTGTCTGCCCTGTGAGCGGGTGCAGTGGAAAGCTCTTATGACGAATCCTTAGGGACTGGAAGAATGTTTGCTAAGAGATGGATTTTTCTTGGTGCAAACACTCCCAGCCGATCTGGTTTTCTCCTGGGAGAAAAGAAGGGTTGGAGGGAGGTGTGTTGAAGATGCAGAGAGCTATGGGTGCACTCACAGACCTCTGGAACCCTTGTGGGCATTCAATGTGATGGGACCTTCAACTGTGTTCTAGCAGCATTTCTTCCATGCCCCAGGAGTAAAACACAATCCCTGCTCTCAACTAGCTCACTGCAGACCTGGGGAGGCAGAAGTCTAGGACAATGTGAAGCCCTAAATGCAGGAAGTGTGCATTGAAACATCATGCATGACATTTGGGTCCAGATTGACTAGGAGCTGTGTGTTCTTAGATGAGTCATTGAACTCCGAGTCTCAGTTTTTCCCCCTCTAAAATTGGGATCTCACTTTACAGGAATTACTGGGTATGTAAAAGTGACTAGCATATCCCTGGCTCACAGAAGACACTTAATGTATGCCAGTTTCTGTTCCTTTAAAGTCACAAATGGTAAGCAGTAGTTAATAGAGAAAGGAGGGATGAATCTGGACAGAGAAGAATCAGAAAACGCTTTATGAAGGAGATAGTTTGGGGGCTTGACCTTGGCAAATGAAGAGTTAGAGAGAAAGTGTTTAGAAGCTATTGGTGGGTGTCTTTGGGCAGAAGGGGTGAAGTTGTCCCTTGACAAGTAAACTCTTGGTCTGAGCATTCACCAACTCACTGTCTTCCTAGATTCTGAACTTTCTTGACTCTTCTGAGTCTGAATTAGGTCCCAGTTCATGTGTTCCCATAGCCCCCTGTATTTCCTATCTGGCACTCGTTGAGTCTTGTTGAATGTGTGTGTGCTTGATTGAATAGTGTTCCCTCCAAATCCGTGTCCAGTAGGAACCTCAGAATACTACCTTATTTGGAAATAATAGGGTTTTGCAGATAGAATTAGTTAAATGGAGTCATATTGGATTAGAGTGGGCCTTAAATCCAATAACTGGTATCCTTATAATAAGGCCCTAGGAAGACAGAGGCAGAGATTAAAGTGATACAGCTACAAAGAATATAAAGGATTACTGGTAACCACCAGGAGCTAGGAAAAGGCAAAGATTATTTCCTATAATCTTCAGAGGGAGTAACAGAGTGCACAGCCCTGCCAAAACCTTGTTTTGAAAGTGGGGTCCTCCAAAACTGTGGGACAATAAATTTCTATTGTTTTTAGCCATCCGGTTTGTGATAAGTTGTATGGCGGCCCTAGCAAACCAATACAGTGGGAATATTTAATTTCTTCTCTCTGAGACTAAGAGTTTTCTTCATGTTGGCTCAGTTAAACCAACACTCCCTGGTACTGTGGCCCAGTGAAATGTCTTGGAATTTGGACAACTCTTTCCCTTGGGATAGAACTGAAGTCATTAAAAGGAGAGATAATTCCAATCTCCCTCATCTAGAGTCAGCATTTAACAGACAATATGACTTTATTATTAAGGATCAGGAATATATTTGAGATAAAATTGTCTATAACTGAAAGAATGACTGTTGATCAATCCAAATGTCACTATTTTGGATACATAAATCAATTTTAATCTCATTTTTCATGTATAATCTATACAACAAATGGCATAAATCTGTTAGGTTGTGGATATTTTGTAGTTAGTTACTCCTGGCAAGTGGACCAGGAAGGCGAGTTGTTTCCAAACCATTTATAGATGTCATCTGTGTGTCAATACTTCTAATGAACTTTTACTTAGACTGTGTGTGTGCATATGTGTTTGTGTATATATGGCTAATAGGAACATTACTATATACCTGCTTGGAGTTTTTTTTCTTATACCTAGGGCATGTCATATTTTGATGCCCCTTCTCCTGCCTCTGTTCATTTATTTTTAGTCGAATTGTTTTTGGTGTGATGAAATTGCTCGACATTGAAGAACACAAATTATACTTATCACTGACATATTTTGAGAACAATGTTGAGGACATTGCTCATTACATGATATCATTTCTTCTTAATGAAGATTAGAAGGTGAAAGTAAATTCTGATTTCAGCATCAGGGACAGATAAAAATTCTTTAAAAAAATCTGATAATCTGATATAGTCTTATATTGTGGATATAGTGAATGGTCCAGTTTGTTATTCTTGCTTCCTTTTTAGCATTGGCTGCTAGGAAGCTCAGGATCAAATTTTAGAATCACTTTTCTTGTGATACATAGGATTTTCTGAACTATATTTGCTAAACTAACCTTACCTTTGAATCCACTATCTATATATCTTCTCCTAAGTGCTTCTGAGAGGATTTATTTTTAATTCAATTTATGAAACAATGTTATATTCGTCTTCATAATTTACCTTAAGTACCTCTTTGGAGCCAGGCAGAGTTGTAAATAGAATAATACTACAATTTTGTTCTTTAGCCTTCGGATAGAGGGAAAGGTAAGGATTTACAATCTGTAGACTTGCCACAACTCATTTCATTTCCATGATTCTCAATGTCCTCACTTATAATATAGGGCTAACAGTAAATTGTATCTCAGAGAACTCTTGTGAAAAACCAGATGAGACAATGGATGTAACAGTGCTTTGTAATATTATTTGTAATAGTGAAAACAGGAGACATCCTTCCTTTTACACTAAAAATCATGAGTGTGACATACATAGTTTAAACATAAAGTAGTGCCAAAGGCATAAATGAAATATGACAGCTGCTTGCCCCAACCCTTTCCATACCCATTCTACTTCTCAGAGGGAGCTACTTCTAAGTTTTTAGCAGTTTCTTCTGACATTTTCATTCAAATGTCTACTTTTTACAAATTACATATTAAATTTCTATTATGCTACTTGAGGATTTATAGCTCTTATAAACCCATGTCTTCTTTTTCTCATCCTCCAGCCTCTCAATACAATTATATAACATTTTCTGCCCAAATCTCTAGAAAGAATAACACGATCACGAATATTTAGTTTAGTGCCTAGCCAAGTATGATATGAACTTTCTCATTTAACTTTTTGTTTTTTATGTGGTTATTGTCTTATATTTTATTTATTCAATTTTCTATTTACTTATCGCACTAACAATTTTCTAAACACACCAACAAATATGTCAAACAGATTAACCAGCAGTAATGCTTCCAAATGCTTAAATACATTAGATAAAACCTATCAATTGTATATATTTTTTTCCATAGGGATTTCTTTCTTACAGTTTCTCTCTAGGCCTGGTGCACATCAGAAAATTCCATTTGCATTCTCCAGTGTTGAAGCCTTTAATTCCTAAGTCTTTTGACTTCCATTTTCTTGACACAGTTTTTCTCTTGCTGAGGTATATTTTTTTTAGTAGCTTCTAGAGAAATTTGCCTAAGAAGTAAACATTTTTGAGGCTTTCCATGTATAAAAAATTTTCCATTTTTCATTCTAACCTGAATGATAATTGAGCTTGATATAAAATTCTACCTTGAAAAAAAGTTCTCTCCAAATTTTTAAGACCATGCTTCATTGACTAAAAATCCATGCAGATGCTGATAAGTCGAATGCCTCTTATATCGGTTCCTTGTCTGTGACCTGCAATTTATTTCTGAAAGTTTTTGTATTTTCTTTTTATCTCTGGTGTCTTAATTCTTTTTCTTTTCTTTTCTTTCTTTTTTTTTTTTTTTGAGACAGAGTTTTACTCTTGTTGCCCAGGCTGGAGTGCAATGGCGTGATCTTGGCTCACTGCAATCTCCGCCTCCCAGGTTCAAGTGATTCTACTGCCTCTGCCCCACAAGTTGCTGGGATTACAGGCGTGCACCACCATGCCCAGCTAATTTTATATTTTTGGTAGAGACAGGGTTTCTCCTTGTTGGTCAGGCTAGTCTTGAACTCCCGACCTCAGGTGATCTGCCCATCTCAGCCTCCCAAAGTGCTGGGATTACAGGTGTGAGCCACTGTGCCCAGCTTAAAATATTATGATAATTTGCATTTTGTGAATCTGTTGCAGTTTTGGTCCTAGGCCTGCACGGGCCCTTTTAATGTCAAGCTTCGTATTCTTTATTTCTTCCCTTCCTTTTTCTTGGTTATATTTTTCTTTAACTATCATTATTGGGATGCTGCTCCACCTGATTGATCCTCTTTCCCATCTTTGTGTCTTTCTGTTTTGCTTTTTGTGGACTTTCTTTACTACAATACTTGCAATGAACTTTTACTTAGGCAAATATATTTTAAACACTTGAGTGTTTTCTTTTTCTCTATTTCCTTTCTATAGCACCCATTTCTTATTTTATGGATGTAATATCATTTCTTACCACTCTAAAGATATTAAATGTAAGATTCTTTAAGAAAAAAAGAAAAAAACCTTTCTTAAGCTCCCTCTATTCATCTCTTTTTCCAATTTTTTTTTTAATGTTTAACAAATGGAAAAACATTCCATGTTCATGGATAGGAAGAATCAGTATCATGAAAATGGCCATACTGCCCAAAGTAATTTATAGATTCAATGCTATCCCCGTCAAGCTACCATTGACTTTCTTCACAGAATTAGAAAAAAATTACTTTACATTTCCTATGGAACCAAAAAAGAGCCCATATAGCAAAGACAGTCCTAAGCAAAAAGAACAAACCTGGAGGCATCATGCTACCTGACTTCCATGGTGCTGGAACCAAAACAGATATATAGACCAATGGAACAGAACAGAGGCCTCAGAAATAATGCCACACATCTATAGCCATCTGATCTTTGATAAACCTGACAAAAACAAGCAATGGGGAAAATATTCCCTATTTAATAAATGGTGTTGGGAAAACTGCCTAGCCATAAGCAGAAAACTGAAACTGGACCCCTTCCTTACACCTTATACAAAAATTAACTGAAGATGGATTAAAGACTTAAACATAAAACCTAAAGCCATAAAAACCCTAGAAGATAACCTAGGCGATACCATTCAGGACATAGGCATGGGCAAAGACTTCAGACTAAAATGCCAAAAGCAATGGCAACAAAAGCCAAAATTGACAAATGGGATCTAATTAAACTAAAGAGCTTCTGCATAGCAAAAGAAACTATCATCAGAGTGAACAGGCAACCTACAGAATGGGAGAAAATTTTTGCAATTTATCCATCTGACAAAGGGCTAATATCCAGAATCTACAAGGAACTTAAACACATTTACAAGAAAAAAAAACCCCATCAAAAAATGGGCGAAGGATATGAACAGATACTTCTCAAAAGAAGACACTTATGCGGCCAACAAACATATGAAAAAAAGCTCATCATCACTGGTCATTAGAGAAATGCAAATCAAAACCACAATGAGATACCATCTCACACCAGTTAGAATGGTGATCATTAAAAAGTCAGGAAACAACAGATGCTGGAAAGGATGTGGAGAAATAGGAATGCTTTTAGACTGTTGGTGGGAGTGTAAATTAGTTCAACCATTGTGGAAGACAGTGTGGTGATTCGTCAAGGATCTAGAACCAGAAATACCATTTGACCCAGCAATCCCATTACTGGGTATTTATCCAAAGGATTATAAATCATTCTGCTATAAAGATACATACACACATATGTTTACTGAAGCACTATTCACAGTAGTAAAGACTTGGAACCAACTCAAATGCCCATCAATGATAGACTGGATAAAGAAAATGTGGCATATATACACCATGGAATACTATGCAGCCATAAAAAGGGTGAGTTCATGTCCTTTGCAGGGACATGGATGAAGCTGGAAACCATCATTCTCAGCAAACTAACACAGGAACAGAAAACCAAATACCGCATGTTCTCACTCATAAGTGGGAGTTGAACAATGAGAACACATGGACACAGGGCAGGGAACATTACACACCGGGGCCTGTCGTGGGGTGGGGGACTAGGTGAGGGATAACATTAGGAGAAATACCTAATATTGATGATGGATTGATGGGTGCAGCAAACCACCATGGCACATGTGTACCTGTGTAACAAACCTGCACGTTCTACACATGTATCCCAGAACTTAAAGTATAATTTTAAAAAAAGTTTGTTTCAACTAATTTATTTGAAAAAATAATGTTGATGGTATTTCTTCGATGCCTAATGATTGCTTTTGTTTAAAATGAAGCCATTATTTGGATGGTGTGTGTGTGTTTGTGTGTGTGTGTGTGTGTATGTGTGTTGGGTGACTGCTTGTGAACCTGTGGGCTTCAGTTTGGGGAGATCAAGGACCAAGACAGCTTGACCACTGGTGAAATCATGGAACTTGGTTGCATGGTCTCCAGAACTACTTCATTTTTCCAGAGATAGATCTTTAAATCTTCTACTTGAAACATTTTAGATGACTGAACTGTGGTGGTAATCTGGAGAGGGCTGAAGGGGTTGCGGTTCAGGAGGTCAGCTTCCTTGTAAAGGGCCTGTCTCAGTCGGCCACCTCAGCCTTGCTCGCCACTGTGCCTGGTGCCTCTGAGTCTGGGGTCGCTCTGAAATAAGCCTCTGTCTGACCACTGGGGAGGATAAGAAGGGGTAATTATCTGACTGCCTATACTGAAGGAGGGCTTGGGGAGTCCCATTCCTCTCCATATAGACTTTTAGCCAGTCTCTCTCTCATTTCTATGTTTCACTGCTCCCTCCAAGTACTAAGCTTCCCCCTACTTCTTTCTCCTAAGTGTTCTGCAGGGGAAACTGCCCACTAACTTCTCATGATTTTTCCATCCATCTGTCGGCACTGAGTTTGTAATTTCCTCTGCTAGGCTAAGTTCTGAAATCTGTTGAATTCTCATGTTCTGAAAATGTTTTTCTCTTCTCTTTGTCCTTGGATGTCTTTCATCCATTCCTTTACTGCCATTCTAGTGAGGCTATGGGAAAGAGAAAAGTCAAATAAATTTAACATATTTAGCTGGGAGCCCAATTTGATTATCCTAATAAATATATCAGTATTTCTAAAATTTTAATCAATTTTATTGAGGTATAATCTACATATCATAAAATGTACCCATTTTAAGTGTATAGTGTGGCGACTTTTGACAAATGAATATAGCCGTGCAGCCACCATGATTGAGATATGGAACACTTTAATTGCCCTGAAAAGTTTCTTCTTCCCCCATTCAGTCATTTCCCCTACTCTTGGGCCCAGGAAACCATTGATCTGCTTTCTGTCATTAGAGATTATAAACGTATTGTTTTTGCTTAAGAAATGGTAAGAGGGGTTACGTGTTTGTGGAGTTATAAAGAAATGGTTTTTCTTCTCTGTATTAAAGAATGAATACATTTTAGGAAAAATGTAAAATGCAAATCTGATAAAAGAGTGCTTTGTAAACCATAATGTGCTTGCCAAATATTGCTTAACAATTTTTTATTTTATTTTATTTATTTATTTATTTTTGAGACAGAGTCTCTCTCTGTCGCCCAGGCTGGAGTGCAGTGGCGCCATCTCGGCTCACTGCATCCTCAGCCTCCTGGGTTCAAGTGATTCTCCTGACTCAGCCTCCTGAGTAGCTGGGATTACAGGTGTGCGCCACCATGCCCCGCTAATTTTTGTATTTTTTTGTAGAGAAGGGGTTTCACCATGTTGGTCAGGCTGGTCTCGTACTCCTGACCTCGTGATCCAACCACCTTGGCCACCAAAAGTGCTGGGATTACAGGGGTGAGCCACTGCTCCCGGCCAACAGTTTTTTAATATCAGTTTACATGTCACTGAAAATTGACTGGAAGATGAGTATTTTGCTATGAGAAGGTGGGTAGAGGCTGGGCCAGGGAGAAGGGTATGGGAGTGACAATAGGACCAGCTAGAGATTTCCAGGTAAACATCTACCACGTGTGTTTCCCTCTGGAGAAACTGGCTACTAGAGAACAATTATTAACTCAGAAGTGAGCAGCCAGTTAAATGTCTGTTAACCCCTTCATATTTGGAGCAGAGAAGGATTGTGTGCTCAAGAAATATATAAAGAAGAATTGACAAGGTAACATGTTCAGATGGTATTTTCCCCATCTGTTAGCAGTACAAATCCAGATAATCTAATTATTCAACAGCAATAAACATAAGCAATAGTTTACAGATCTGAATTAGCAAAGCTTAAATTAATAACCACTGTTTCTCATGGACATAAACAGAATGGAGGGCTGAAATGTTCCTAGAGCCAGGAGGGATTTTCAAGTCCTCGAACTTCAATGTTTTAAAAGGGCAGAAAAGTACGTTTCTTTAGGATGAAGGTGATTAATAGCTGGTTGGAATTATATGACATATAAAATTTTCTTTTTATTTTAAATTTCAATAAAAATGCTTGAACTTTAAAAAAATGAAAGATGGTTTTTTTTAAAGCTTGAAATTTGATACCACAAATATTCTTTATAGTTAACATGTATTCTTCATGGACAATAGAAATGAAGAAACAAAGTGGAAAGGGGAGAGAGGAAACAATTTTCATCTCTCCAAACACTTAAATCCAGTTTAAGAAAAATCAATAACCATATTGAAGTTATTGTGGAAAAATGGAGCAATTAAAATTCACTTTACACCTGAAGCTGCATCCTAAGAACATTTTTTAAAAAAATTTTGAGACTGAAAGGGAAATGTAATTGGGAATTTAATGTTTTAATTTATTGAAAGCACTTCATAGCTAGGATTTCTGATAAATCTGAACATTACTAAAAAGACAAATCAGTTTTATCAGCAAGAATGTTGCTGAAAACAATACCGTAAGGCGTGAAGCAGAATAATATATGTCAATTTAGAATTATTTGATTGGAGTTGGCGACCTAGTTTTTGCTGTAATCCTGTTCTACAAACCTTAGTGTTTTTCTTGCTGTTCTCTCTTTCCTAACCCTTGACTAAGGGAAGTAGACACTGAGTGAATGGTCAAACAGCTATAATAAATGATATCCATAATAGTCTTATTTGCCTTTGCAAGGCAAGTGTTAGCATGGTGTAAACAGTTTCTTCAGTTGCCAAACAAGTATCCATCTGACAGTGGGAAGGAAAAAAGAAGAGGAGGAAGAGGAGGCCAATCCAGCTCCAGCCCTGAAACTGTAAATATTTTCAGATACTTTCTTGAATTCTCTCTGTTAGAAATACATTACTACAAAGGGATCTGAAGAGAAAAAACACAATTAATTGGGAGATCAGTGGCTTTATGACTGAGTTTTTACTTAGTCCCATTTTACTACAGTAAAAATAAAAGTAAAGCCTAAGTGTGTTTAGTAATGGGCTTGGGATATTTTTATAGTTAGAGTATAGGGTTCAGGGCACTGAGTTAAATGCACTTTGGCCCATGCCTCAAGGCATGGAAGGTTTGCTATCATTACAACTATCATCACCACCCCCACCAATTATATGTTTTTGTTGTGAGTTTCTTGTTTTATTCAGAGAGTCTGGGGAAAACAGTTTGTGATGAGTTTGGTTCATTTTGTTTAAGATACTTGATATTTAACTGTGTTTACAAATACTCTGTAACTGTAAGCCCTATTTTAGTTTACAGCACAGATATGAATAGCACTAGACTGGGCTTCAGGAACCTGGGAATTCTAGCATAGGCTGTGCCAGTAGCATGCTCACTGTGTGATCTTGAGCAAGTCTTGCCATCTTGGTTTTAGTTGTTTTTTTGTTTGTTTGTTTTTGGTGGTAAAATATACATAACATAAAACTTACCATTTCAGTCCCTTTAAAGTGTACAGTTTAGTGGCACTAGGTATATTCACATTGTTATGCATTCATCACTATTATCCATCTCCAGAGCTTTTCTGTCATCTCAAACTGAAACTCTGTACCCATTAAACAACAATTTTCCGTGGTCCCCTTCCACAAGGCCCACGCAACCGTCATTCTACTCTTTTTCTCTGTGAATTTGATTTTTCTAGATACTTCATGTAAGTGGAATCATACTGTTTGTCCTTTGGTGTTTTGCTTATTTCACTTAGTATAACATCTTCAAAATTCATTGATGTCATAGCATATGCCAGAATTTCAATCCATTTTAAGGCTGAATAATATTCTATTATATGTGTACTACATTTTGTTTATTTATCTGTCAGTGGACATTTAGGTTGTTTCTGGCTTTTGGTCATTGTGAATAATGCTGCTGTACACATGAGTGTGCAAATATTAATAGCAGTTTGAGTTCCTGCTTTCAATTATTTTGGGTATATATCTAGAAGTAGAATTTGTGGATCATATGGTAATTCTATGTTTAACTTTTGAGTAACTGCCATATTGTTTTCCACAGTGGCTGCACCATTTTACATTCTTACCAACAGTGCACAATGGTTTTAATTTCTTCACATCCTTGCTAACACTTAACAGTTGTCATTGTCATTTTCTGTTTTTTTTTTTTTGGAGGGGAGTTTGTTTTTGTTTTGTTTTGGTAATAGCCATCCTAATGGGTGTAAAAAGGTATCTCATTTCGGTTTTGGTTTGCATTTCCTGAATGACTAATGGTACTGAGCATTTTTTTCATGTGCTTATTGGCCATGTGTATATCTTCTTGGGAGAAATGTTGATTCAAGCCCTTTGCCTATTTTAAAATCAGGTTGTTTGCCTTTTTGTTGTTGTTGAGTTTAAGAGTTCTTCATGTATTGTGAATGTCAGTTCCTTATGATTAGTAAGTATTTCCTTGTATTCTATGACTTGCCTTTTCACTCTCTTTATAGTATCCTTTGATGCACTAAAGTTTTTTATTTTGATGAAGTTTAATTTATCTATTTTTTCTTTTATTGCCTGCACTTCTGGTGTCAGTGTATTCCCAAATATTTTATCCTTTTTGATTCTATTGTAAACGGAATTTTTTAAATTTCCTTTTCACATTGTTCATTGTTAGTGTGTAGAAATGCACTGGATTTTCATGTTTTCATCTTTGATTTATGAGGACAATAACAACCTGACTTGCAGGGATTTGTGATGATGACATTTATGTCTAAGACAGGCCTTATTGAATTGCAGGTGCTCAATAAATGGCAACTATTATTAATAATATTATTACTGATTGATTTGTTATTGGCATTCTGGGCTAGATTCCCATAGAGAAAGTGTAGCTCAACTCTAAACTTTCAGGTCATGGAGAGGTATCAGGCATTGGAAAAACAGCTTGATCTGGGGTTAATCCAGCCTCTGACATTTCTTATCCTCATGATCTTGAAAAAATTATTTCACAACTCTAAACTGGAGTGTGCCCATTTGAAAATTGGGAATGGTAATATCTGACTGATAGTATTTCTGTAAAGATCAAAGAAAGTAATGTGTGTGGTATATGCTAGATCTGATACCTAGCACACAGCAGTGATTATTACTATAGCTAGGAACCCTACAGCTAGACTAGTTGGGCTTAAAGCTTGACTCTTACACTTACTAGCTGGTGAACTTGAGCAAGTTATTTCCCTCCTGTGCCTCAGTTTTCTCATCTATAAAAGGGAGATGATAGTGGTACCTACCTTGTAGTGTTGTTTGGAATTAAATGAGTTAAGATATGTAAAGTGCCCTGTGCCTGGCATATACAAGCAGTATGTGATGGCTATTATTATTATCATCATCATTGTAGCTACTATAGTCGCCTTGCTGCCCTCTATCAGAAAGTATATAGATTGCCTTATAAAACTATTTATAATCTTTTTCCCCCACATTAAGTGAATGATGTCTTTAAAAAAAAGGAAAAGGAGGAGTCTCTACCCACAGACAAGAACTCCCCCATTGGGAGTGCTTCCTCTGTCTCCTGCTTGCAGTGACACCACCTGGAGGGAACCCACCACCCCCCCACCACCACCACCCCCAGCAGCTCCAGCAACAGGCCTGCCAGAGATCTGAGCAGATGTTTCTGCTTTTCAGACCCAGGCGTTTCCTCTCTTCTAGGAGCACATGCCAGCACAGTCAATATCTGGAAACCCGCTGCTTCACAGTAGGGCTGAGAACTAAACTGGTACTTTACTAGAAAATGGTAATAAAGCAATTTGAATTGCTTTTCATCCTCCTTGCTCTTAACAGCTTTTAGGTTCATATGAGACCAATCAATTAATCCTGCTTCAGAGCTACAGGAATGGGGTGTTTTCCAGCCTCTGAATAGGAGATGGGCCCATAACAGAGATTTTTCCAGCCGTATTTCACAAGGACCATTTAGCCTGGCATCTAGAGCAATGGTGGGCAGAGGTGCCACTTGGTTGGCACCATATTCTTACAGCCTGGCCAGTTCCCCAGGTGCAAAAGAATGGCTTCTACCCCAAAGGCAAACCATAAATGTGATTCTTCTTTGTATAGTCTTTTCCTTCCATTCTCATTTCCTTCAATCCCAGGTTTCTGTATGAAAGAGTTAATAAGGTAGAGGATGATTCACCTGCATGGAAACTGATATGTACATTAAAAAAGGAGCTGCCATTTCCTTCCTGATCAAGTGTGATGTAGTTCCTTTGAAAGCCTCCTCTCTCACCTTGAGGAAGTTCTTACAGATCTCAGCATCCATAGATCTGTGTCCAGCACACAGTAACACTCAGAGAATAATGGATGAAGTGGATTAAAATAGAAATGAAATGAAAATTTAGAAAGAATGGAGGCGAGGGAAGGATTTTTTCCTATTTTTTCATGACCAAGTATTGAATATTATTATTTTAAGAATTAATATATTTTAAAAATCTTCACATTAAAAGATAAATGGGGCTGGGCATGGTGGCTCATGCCTGTAATCCCAGGACCTTGGGAGGCCGAGGAGGGCAGATCACTTGAGGCTAGGAGTTCGAGACCAGCCTGTCCAACATCGTGAAACCCCATCTCTACTAAAAATACAAAAAGTAGCTGGGCATCGTGGCAGGTGCCTGTAATCTCAGCTACTTGGGAGGGTAAGGCAGGAGAATTGCTTGAACTTGGGAGGTGGAGGTTGTAGTGAGCCGAGATCTCGCCACTACACTTCAGCCTGGGTGATAGAGCAAGACTTTGTCTCAAAAAAAAGAAAATTAATAAATAAAGACAAATGGTTAGTCCATAAATGGAAGGTAACAGATTAAAAGTGGTCAATGCCCGTGGACGAACATATTTACTCTGGCACACGAATTGGTGTTGAGAGAAATTTATGTTCTTCCTTCATTGTGAAATTAGTGGAGGGTATTTATCCACCTCAGCACAGATATTTGCCAGAAGTTGTCTCAAGACCTCAAGCACAACTTGTTTAGACATTTTCCAGTTGTAATTTTTTTCTAGGCTGTTAAAAATATTGACTTTGACAGCTTTAAAATGATGGCCTCAGAATTGGAATAATTTACATTCTGGAATTAAGATAATTCAAGCATTTCTGCTGGCAAGGAACAAGGGTAGGAACCAGTTATATAAATCCCAGATTTGTGGGAGACTGAACCATTAGCATAGATTCGTCGTCTGTGGATATTCAGAGCAGTCACCTTCCCATGTAAATGAATCTTTATGTCTCTTCCAGGCAGGCCCAGATTCTGAGCTATTTTCGTAACTTCTTTCGGATCAGGTGATCTGGAAGAGGGTGGGCGAAGGCGTCAGACTCAGGCCACACTCATGTTGCCGGCCTCTTGGTGTTCTGCAAGAGACACAGAAAGCCTGAGGAAAAATTCTAGCCACTGTCTGGCTGTTGTGTGTTTACCTTAGACGTTCTCTCCTTTAACTCCTGAGTCTCAGTCCCAGAGAGTCAACATAGAAGGCATTCAGAACAGCTCAGTGGTCCTGGACCTGACCCAGCTCTCTCTGCCAGATTCCAAACACACCTGCTAAACAGATTCTTTTCTCCCAGCGCTCTGCTGACATTTCAGCTGGAACCAAAGTCACTCTCTTAGTCCACAGCATTCCTCTGACTGCTAACGGGACCATTTGTCCTCTCCATTCCTTAGGAGTTTCTCTTTGACTCTGACTGGAAACACCTAAGTCAAAAGAAAACTTGGTCCAAACCCCGAGGCTATGGCTGGGAAATAATGGAGTGGTAATCATATTCAATAGGAAACAATGAAAGCAACAGCTTCCCTCAAATGGATTCGTCCTCATCCTTGGTACTAGGTACACTTGTGCTTGTCACATTTTGTCATCCTCGAGTGGCTCTGAGGTGTCATCCAGATTTCACAAGTGAAAAAAAGATTAGAAAAACTAAAGAATTTCCCCAGAGGCACCTGACTGGTGACTAGGTCAGATGGACCCCAAGCCCATGGTTTGGATATTTCAGCTGTCACCTCTAGCAAAGATGTAGATGACTATCCCTGTGGAAATCAAGAGGTGGAAGAGACACTGGAGATGACAAGGGCTTCTCCCAAATACGTATCATGTGCATGAGTGTAAGTTCAAATCAGTCACGGCATCATGGTCATTTGGAATTCTGTGATTGGAAGATATATTAAAGCCCTTCTAAATCAAATCTTTAACGCTCAAAGCCTGACACCCTTAAGCATATGGCAGATTATTAACCGGGGATGATTTTGACCCTCTGGGAACATTTGGTGATGTCTGAAGGTATTTTCAGTTGTCACAACTTGGGCCGGACGCCTGTGGGTAGTAGAGACCAGGGATGCAGCTAAAACTCCTGCAGTGCTCAGGACAGCCACACCCCACCCCATTCCCTTCAGCACAAAACAGAATTATCTGAATCAGATCATGTCAGTAGTGTTGAAGTTGAGAAACCCTGAAAAATGGAAAGGCAAGATGAGAGAAACATGGACACTGGAGATCATCTGGATCAAGCCCCTCAATGTTATTAAAAAAAGAGACCCAAAATGGTGAAGTCACTAACCCTTGGTCACATGGCAAGATTTTGGTAGAGTTGGAGTTGAACTACACTGGACATGAGCATATGAATAGCTATATTAATAAATATCTATAATAATATGAACAATCACAATTGCAATGCATTAATAGAAAAATGTAAAAAGAAAAATATTGACAGTTATTATCACCAGGGATAGTCACATTTACTCTGCATATGTAGGTACAACAAGTATGACAGGAAGATACTGCCCATATATAATTCCTGTTTAAAAAAAACTTTTTTTTTTTGAGCAACAAGAGAGGAATGAACCAGCTTAAAATCTCACAGCTCATAAGAACCTGGAATTGAACTCTTTTCTCTTAAATCAAAGGCCTTTGGGATGACCAGCAGGGCCTTGGTTCTTTCCATGACTGAAAGGGCATTAAAAAGAGAAAGTTTATACCCATATACATGAAAACCGCAGGATATTCAAACATCTTTTGTAGTATCACAGTCATCTGCATTTGATATATCTTTTGAGTCTATTGCTATGAAGGATGTTGCATTTACTCCTGCAGGCTCTGCTATTGGGTATATAAATCGCTCTAAAATTTCTGGAGGATAATTAAGCACTATGTATGAGGAGCCACCCTTTGATACAGTGATTTTACTTGTTGGAATCTGTCCTAAGAAAACAATTAGAGTTGCAGATAGATTTATGCACAGATATTATGATAATAATAATAGCTGGGATTTATCGAGCTCACACCATATGCCAGAGTCTGTTTTAAGTGCTTTCCATGCATCATCTTATTTGCTCCTCATAACACTATGAGGTAAGTATTATTCTCATCCCCATTTATACATGGGAAGCTGAGGCTTAGAGAGTCTCAGTAATTTGGCCAAGGTTACTTGGCTACTATATTATAAAGGGAATTCAAGGCCAGGCAAACTGATTCACAGGGTTTCTTCATTTTAATTGCTATACAATACCAACTGATAGCAGTAAATTACACATTTATCAGGAAACATTGGAAAGAATCTGATGTCTAACATGAGTGCACTTGGTTAGGGGAGTTATGGCCTGTTTCCTCTTTTGGTATCTTGGCCTAAAGTAAACCTGGACTATGTCTTCCTTGGGTAGAAAAGGATGGCAGATCTGCTTGGAGGCTTTGCAGATAGTTCATATTTGTGCAGTCTGTCATTTAATAGAGCTTAACTCTGGTCACAGGAAGGAGAATGCAGCAGACCGGAACTCAGACAGACCTCAGTTTGAATCCTGGCTTGGCCACATCCTAGAAGCTCAGCCTTTGATAAGGCACATTTTCTTCACCAAACCTCACTTTCCACATCATTAAAATGGGGAAGTCACATCCACCTGGTGGAGTGGCTGCATGAAACCCTTGACTTGCAGAAGTGCTCAATGACGCACAGTGGGTGCTCACTATGAGTTAGGTGACTAGAAATAGGCAGAGATGGAGCCCTGCATTGGTGACCTGAGAAGGAAGGCTTGCTGCTGTCTGAGGGAAGGGGATTCCCAGCTGTGCTTGGGGAAGAGGAAGTCAGCGAAAGCCACTTAAGAACGTTGAATTCTTGTGGACAAGTCCTGTAAACAGCTTTAGAACAATGTAAATAGGATAACTGACAAGTCCTGTGAACAGCTTTAAAACAATGTAAATAGGATAACTGACAACAAGTCCTGTGAACAGCTTTAGAAAAATGTAAATAGGATAACTGGCTGTGAAAATTAACACAAACAGGAAAAACAGACTCTGAGAAATCCAGAGACCTGAATGCCTATGGGAGAGGGCTCTTTCTTCTGTAGAAGCCCAGGCAGGGTCTTATGGCCCCCCATCTGGGTGAGCACTTGAGGTGCAGAAGCTTGGAGAAGAACGAGTAATCAAGGAGCTGCCCCAGCCTCAGATCAGACCTACTGGACCCTAACTCTGGAGAATAAAACTGGGGATGTCACTGCAGTGACTGGATGCACATTTCTTGGTCAGCCCCCAGAATAATCCCTGCTTCAGAGGTGACTCAGCTTGGGAAAGGCCAGCGTTGATGGCCCCTTATCACAAGTGTTTGACTCACAGAGTGTGACAGCTGGAGGGGGCCTTGGAGTTAAATCATCTCAGCCAGCCCCTCCATTTGAGAGACAAGAGAGACTCAGAGAGGAGAAGGGACTTGTCTGATGTCCACAGAGTTACTAAGCAGCGGTGCTAGAACCCCAGCCCATGCACTGCTGACTCAGAATCCAGAAGAGATTTTTCTTCCCCTAGCACCTTAATGCTGTTTATTTGTAATCGTTGGTGATCTATTCATTGAATTATGTGTCCTTGCTCATGCATTTAGAGAGCTTATGCACATTTTGTACACCCAAAGCATGTATGGTGAAAGCACAGAAGTATATATCCATTCTGTCAACAAATGTTGTCAACTCTTATCCAATAATGTCTCTTGAATCCATTTCCATCTCTCTGGTTCAGACTTATCACCTTGCTTCTGGATCCTTGTAAATGTCTAGCTGATTGTCTTATCTTCAGTAACTGCTTCTCTTCTGAGACATTTTTCAACCCTGCAGACAGAATCATTTTTTAAGGAAATATTTCCATGGTTCCATTGCTTACTGGACAAAAATAAACTTCTTAGGAAGACATTCAAGGCCTTTTATGATCTGAGCCCATCCTCCCTTACCAGGCTTTTGCCTGGTAATCTAATGCTTTTGCCTACCCATGCATGACACGCATACCTACAGAAGCCACTTCAGGACTCTGTGCTCTTTTTCACAGTGTTCCCTCTTCCTAAAAGGCCTGTCTCCCATACTACAGCCCTGGAACTTTTGCTCATCCCTTAAGCACAGCTCAACCATCACCTTCTTTATGAAGCCCTTCATCATGCCTCTCCAGGCAAAACCCATCACCCTCTCTGCTCTGTTTCTCCAGTGTTCTGCACACGCTTGCATTACAGCTCTCCTATTGGATTGAGATGAGTTATTTATTTGCCTGCCTGCATCACCAAGGAGGCTGCGAGTGAGCGTTTTCACAGCAGCGACTATGTCTATCACATTCACTCGCAAGTCCTAGCATAGGGCCTGACACAGAATAGGTGTTCAATAATGTTTTATGAGTTAATGAATGCATAAATTATTGAATTAACACACATAAAATTATTTATTGCTTGTAAGTTGCCCCATCAAGCAAATAGCTAGATAGATGTTTACCAAACCTGGAGGGTATATTTGGCATGGTCTGAATTAAATTACAGCTTATGTAGGACAGAGAAATGTGCATGGATAGAGAAAACATGAGTGATTTAAATATAGCCCCAAATAAAAATCCTAAGAGAAGACATGTTGAATTGCAGGCGTGGAATAGAAGTGGGAGCTGCTTCTCATGTGGGCAACTTTACATCTCATACTCTAGGGTGAGTAGTGGCAGGTGTTTATTTGGATAATGAAGATGTGATAATTTCCAAATGCAGAACCAGGGAGCCCAGCTAGAATGCAATAATTTTTTTAAGTGAACCTGATGAACGCTAAAGTGTTGGGTATGGCGTAATGTTTTCTAGGCAGTCAGCATAAGAGAGCTGGTTCTTTATCAAGGACAACTCCTTGCCAAAGTTAAGTCCTGAAATCAACTCCCCTCCACCATTACCACCAAACATGGACCCACGTATTTAATCCCCATATTTAATCCCTCATGGCTTTAGACATAATCTTCTGACTTATATATGTGTTAGATCTGACCTCCTGTGTTTTGAACTTTTGTGTTTAAGATAGTAATTCTTAGGGGGACTTGATGTTCTTCAGTCAGTCTATGTTCAGAGGAGAAATGAAAGCTAGGAAGTTTTCACCAGCATTTTAATAGAGCTTAATTGTAACTCTCAGGTGACTTAATTGACAATGAAGTCTTTTAAGTCCATGTCTTGTCATTTGCTAATATTTTATATTTGCCCAGAAGAGGGGTGGAAATGGGTTTAGAAGACAGATGAGAAATGGTTCCATTGAATTTTTAAAAATTACATTGCTGTGTTGTGGAAGGTTGACATTTTTAGCTAAAAAGATTAGGATTAGTTATTTTTAACTATCCATCTACACTTATTTTTTATTTAGATGAATAGGTTGAAGGCAGAGTGAGTTGAGCAATATTTCTTTACAGTAAAGAGTACAGGATGCTTTTATATTTGACATCCCATGGTATCTTTCTAACAACCTGGGATGTAGGACTTAACAGACCTATTATACAGATGAGGAGTCTGAGGTGCAGGGAAGTGAAGTCATTTTCTAAAAGAAGTGAAGTGGTGCCAATGGGACTTAAACAGATTTTTGTGACTTCCATTGCAATACTCTTGAATGGTTCAGAGCTCCTGAATTCCCATCTTATCTCCACCACCTCTACTAAGTGATATGACTTGGGCTAAGTTACTGTACTCTCTGCACTACATTTTCCTCATCTGTACAATGGGCATAAAGGTCTCCCTCTCTCAGGATGCCCTGAAATCAGTTGAGGAAACACACAAAGTAGGGAAGGAAATAAGATTGGCAAATCCAACAAATTGCAATTGCGTCCCTCTGTGTGGTTGAAATGCAGGGTAGGAAGTGGGAATGGTGAGACTTAATGACTTTAATATATTTGTCCAGTCATTCAAGATCACAGGATTTGCATTTTATCCCAAGGGCAGTGGAGATCATTGAAAGTTGTAAGGTGATCATTTAAGAAAATGGGAAGGTTTGCATTTTCTAGCAGAGTCTATCTGGCATGAGCTCTTGTAAGAGTGTCCTAATTGGTCCCCAATCCTACATTCTCTCCTTCTGCAGTCCAGCCTCTGCAAGATTATCACGGTGATACTTCTGCAACACATCCCATCATCTCCATCTCCAGCTTACAAACCTTCACCAACTCTGCATTTCTCATAGGATAAAAGTACAAACTAGCATTCAAGGCTCTTCACTGCATTGTCTCTGTCAATTCTTCTGGCTTCATGTTGCTCTCTCTTCCCCCAGATTCTGCAGATTCTCTGCAGGGGCTCATCCCGATTAAAACTCCATGACTGTTACAGCTGTTTCTTACCTTTGTACATACTGCACCTGGGGGTGGAATACTTTGTTCTGATGTGTTCCAAGATGTATAATCCTAATCATCAAGACCCAGCTCAGCCAGCACTGTTGCACCTTACTGTAATAATGTGCCTATCTCCTCCATCAACTGTGAACTTAGGAATAGCGGCATGCCTTATTCATCTCTGAACCTTCACATGTGGCACAATGCTCAGCACAGTGTGGATGCCACAAATGTGCCACGAACCCATATGGGCTCCAGGATTAGACTGCCTAGTTTTAACTCCAGCGTCATCACTCACTAGTTATGTAGATTAATGTAAACTATATGTATCTTGGTTTCTTTATTTGTAAAGTGTTCCTACCCTCTGGGGTTGATTATATGTATTTATATATTTATATGTAATAGTAGTATATAGTGGTATCATACATTAGTATACATAGTGTGTTTAAGTGTATAGTGTACAGTATTTGTGTATATATGTGTATATATATATATGCCCCTTTATGTGTGTGTGTAGTATATGTAGTGTCAATAAAAGAGCCTGTTACATAGTAAGTCCTCAATCAATGTCAGTTGTTAGTATCTTGACGGCAATTGGAAACCATAAAATGTTTAATGACTTTCTCCTCCTGGATTACTGTTAACGATGGAGATACAATGAGACTTGGCATACAGCAATCTTTGAAGTCAGAAGTTAAGTTTATGTTAAATTTCCACTTTTAGCAGAGCAAACGTCTACATTTTCCCAGTTTCCAAAAAAAAAAAAAAAAAAAGGTTATCAACCAAAAAACAAAAATTGAAACAGTATCCTGAAATGGGAGATTGACCCCATTCCCCCCAGGTTACTATGGATGAACACATTCATGCTGAACCACTCTAATGACACATGCCAGTAGCATCTAGAGAGAGACAGCTCTGTACCTAGTGGTGAAGTGGCTAAAGTCTGTCTTTGGTAAATCCTTTCTCTTGTTCTTTGTCTATTTGCACATCTCAGAGTTGTTCTAGCTTCAGATGATGCTCAACCCTTCTTACTTTTCCTCGCATATCAAAGCTTTTTGTCTGTGTTCTCAATCTCTCAAGAAGCTTTTCTGTTTCTGAAGTGGTGTGATAGTTCATGGGAAATGGCTTTTCAGATTAATGTGTTCCAATTGCCATGTCGGAATCATCCCAGATGAAAATAATCCCTTAGCAAGCGCTTTGGTCTGAATGTTTGTGTCCCTCCAAAATTCAGTTGTTGATACCTAATCTCCAATGCGATAGTGTTAAGAGCCAGGGCCTTCTGGGAAGTAATTAGGTCACAAAGGCAGAGCCTTCATGATTGGGATTAGTACCCTTATGAAAGAGGACTGAGGAAGCTTGTTCTCCCTTTCTACTATGCGAGGACACAGCTAGAAGGCACCATCTTTGAAGAAGAGAGAGAGCAAGCCCTCACCAGGCACTGAATCTGTGGGCACTTTGATCTTAGACATCCCAGTTTCCAGAACTGTAAGCAATACATGTATGCTGTTTATTAATTACCCAGTCCAAGATTTTCTTTTTATAGCAGCTCAAACAGAGCAAGTCATGGAAGACTGATTGGGATCATGAAGTATTTACATATCTAAGCCTCTTAACTGACAAATTTCTGGGGATTTCAATGTCCAGCTCTATGTTGATGTTTCCAATGACATATTTATATATATGTGTGTATATATATATATATATATATACACACACACATACACACACACATATATGTACACACACATATATACAAAATTGTTTTCAATGACATATATAATATATATTATATGTTGCTGCAAATGGACTTATATATATATATAAATGGAGTAATATATATGTCTATTTGCAGCCATATATAATAGATATTATTTCCAATGACATGTATAATTATAATATATAAATGGACCAATCCCTATGTCAATTTATATACATATATGTGTGTGTGTGTGTGTATGTGTGTGTGTGTGTGTGTGTGTGTATTCTCACCCTCAGGGCTAAACTTGTTCCACTTTTTTGAAGTCCCAGTTAATAGCTGAATGCCTTGTAGGTGGATTCAAGGATGCTTGGGAAAAGGCTCATCTCTGGTGGTGGTGGTGGTGGGTAGCAATGGGGAAAACAAGAAAGAAGGAAACCTAATAGAACCTCTGGGAGAGATGCCTATACTCCATTTGGCCAACTTCCAACTCAGAAAGAGCTCTGGATGGGAAATAAGATGAGTGAATGTATTATATTATGAAACTAATGGCCCAATCTTTAATAAATTGAATGATTGTATTATAAATAATATATAACATATAAAGCCAAAAATGCTTGTTCTGTAGACCTGTTTATTCAGCTGCTAAGATATATACTAGGCCACTTTCTCTTTTTTCCATTAAAAAATCTATTTCATTGAAAAAATACAACATCCTCCTGACATAAATTCTGATGTTATTTCTTAGATATGTGAAACTTGATGAAAATATAGAGCTCCCTAAAAAGGCCTGGCAAACCAGCTGGTTAATACGTATCTGAAAGAACAAAAAGGGATATAATGTGAAACTGTGTGTGTTTGGGGATGGGTGACATAAGAAACTGTGGATTCTAGTTCCCCATCTTGAACTAACTAACTGTATTACTTTGGGTAACTTACTATTAAATCTTTTGGACCTAGAATTAACCCGTTAGAAGACAACTCTGAACTATGTTAAATATACATTCTAATGGAATTATGTGTTCAAATGACTGGAGGATCACTAAATTCCTTTCTTGATCCCTGATGAAAACATATAGCAGCCCCCAAGAGCTGGAAAGGTCTTCAGAACTCATCTTTCTAGCCTCCCGCCCAAAATGGGTCCCGATGCACACTGCGCTTCTTAGAGCTTTCTCTCGTGCTTTTCTTAAAAGATCTCCCATGAAAAAGAGTTCTACAACTTGCCTCTGTAAGTCAGTCCACTGTTTAAAAACACTTACCATCATCCTGGAGTTTTTCCTCTTATACTGAACATCGTAGAATGCCTTAAAGAACACACACACACACACACACACACACACACACACACACACACACACACACACACACACCCCTGGCTGCGGAGGACTATTCAGATGCAACAGGTGCAATGAGTTATAGATCTTACAAAGAGCACAAAGAAGCACCCAGTCAGCAGGAACAGCAGTTGCCAAGAATTTAATTCATCTGGACAAATCCAAATTTACAAAGAACTAATCCCACATAATGGATAAAGGACAAAAAGGAAGGATTAATGGGGAGAAGGGACTTTCTAAAAATTCACATCTCAAGTCCACTAAACTCCTCATTTGGCCTGCTTCATTTTCCTTCTTTTCCCAGCCAATCTTTATTTAGTTTTCTTAAGAAAAATAAAGTGGACTGTGATGAATAATTGCAACCTAAGAACATGTATGTGTTCAACCGCCTTGAAGTTAGTTTGAGTGTTTCTGGGTGCAGAATAACATTTGTATCAGAACTATGGAAAGACTGCAGTTGAAAATAATGAATCCCTTCCTCGTGACCTATGTTGTCTTTGCAGAGTCACTGCAAAAATCTGTTTCTTCTCCAGTGAAAAGAAGCCTTCTTTCTCTCAGCCATGGAAAGAATATTCTCCTGGTGACAATCCAAAATGAAAGGCTCAGTCTACCACCCAACAACATTCTCTTCAAGACTTACTATCAGCACTTCACTAGTAGGAATTCCTGCCCAGGTTGGAAATCAGCCCTGTTGTGCTGGTTTTAGAGATTACATTTTTTTCCCCCTGGTATTGGTACCTTGAGGATGACCTACATGTAAAGGAATGGAAGGAGAATGACTTCTCAACAAACATACATACCTTGGCTTCAAGGACTCAGGTCTTCCCCTGCTTTCAAAATATTCTCTTTAGTTAACTTTGTTGGACTTTCTTACTCCCTATCTGTTCCTTATCTTCTAATATATGAGCCCCCATTCTCTATTATTCTCACCATGTACTCTCCCATTTGTTGAGTTCATTCACATCCATAACTTGAAACCTTATACCTCTGTAGATGACCCCCAAATCTTCATCTCTTGTAATCATTTTTCTTCCAATCTTCCAACTCCATGATGAAATTGGTCAATTACACATTGCTTTCTGGATGTTTTATAGCCATATCCAGTGGGACTTGTTCCAAACTGAATGAATCATAATTCTCCTCAAACAAAAACTACTCCTCTATCTAGTTGCCCTAGGGAGCAATTCAATATATTTTTGAATATAGACTTAGGTCTGTGTTCACCTTTTCTGGAAAGTCACTACCTTTCTTTTCTATTCTTCGAATATCAGTTTGACTTGTTATTTTCATGCTTTATTACTGTCCTGAACTCCTTACTAGGTTTTCCATCTCTTCCTTTGTACTCCCACACACATTGAGTGTATATTTTTACATTGATTTCACACTAGTCTTTCTGTCTTTCTTTGTTTTGCCATGAAATAGCCTCATTTACTGTTGAAGACAACCCTGAAATATGCTAAATGTACTTTATAATGGAATTAGGTGTTCAAATGCCTGTCTCCCCATAAGAGTGTAGGGTTTCTCAAGGTCAGCTTTATCTTTCTTACCCCAAGCATCCTGTACAGTATTTAGTGTCAAGGCTCAAGATGGTGCCTGAGGGTTGACTCTAAACCTTGGATGCGTTTTCTTGGGCCTGCATGTTTTGTTATGTTTTGTTTAATTTGTTTTCTGTTTTTGTAAACAGAATTATTTTTCAACTTAAAAATTCAAGATATTTTATACAAAATTTGTTTTTCAAGTTTACATTGAATAATCAGAATGGTTGATAATGCTGGGCTCCATTCTTACTCAGCAACAATGGATGGGGCAGATAAATGGGTATTCGCTTTAGACAAAGCATGTCTGCTCCAGCATGTCCCTCTCTCCACCACTTCCCAGTGATACCCAATATGCATCCCCCTTCCTGATGAAAGTCACCTTCCTCACATGTCACCTGTAAGCAATTGAGCTTGTGTTCCTTTCCTTTCCTTTCTTTTCCTTTTTTCTTTTCTTTTCTCTTCTCTTCTCTTTTCTTTCTTTCTTCTTTCTTTCTTTCTTTCTATCTTTCTTTCTTTCTTTTCTTTCTTTCTTTCTGTCTGTCTGTCTCTCTCTCTCTCTCTCTGTCTTTCTTTCTTTCTTTTTTTCAGAGTCTCAGTCTGTCATCCAAGCTGGAGTGCAGTGACATGATCTCAGCTCACTGCAACCTCCCCTTTCCAAGTTCAAGTGATTCTCCTGCCTCAGCCTCCCAAGTGGCTAATATTACATGCACTCACCACCACACTTGGGCTAATTTTTGGTAGAGACGGGGTTTCACCATGTTGGTCAGGCTGATCTCGAACTCCTGACCTCAAGTGATCAGCCCACCTGGGCTGCCAAAAGTGCTGGGATTACAGGGGTAATCCCAGCCACTACGCCTGGTCGAGTTTGTGTTTATGATTGGAGCCCAAAGTAGGTGCTCAGAAGATGTTTATAGAATAAATGCTACCTTGCTATATATAATCCAGAATTTCTGAGTGATACAGGACTTCAGAGATTTTTCCAGACCCACATTCCTATTAGATGTTAAAATCTTTACAGAGGTTTGGGGATTCATTTCAATTTCCTGACAATGACTGAAACTGCATGCAAACTTAGTGAGGATCAGTTCACTGCCTTCACAGGCAGCTCCTCCCTCATAGGCAGTCAGAGAGCTCTAATTGTTGGAAAGGCCTTCCTTGTACTGAGTTAAAATCAATTAGAGAACCCCATAAAAGCATGTATCAAAGTGCTAAGTGGTATGGTGTGAATTTTTAGGTACAATCTGAGTGTTTGGAGAAACTAGAGATCACACCAATTTGGGAAGCCAGGAAAGATTATAGACCATTCTTTGAAATAGGTGGTACTTAATATGAGCATTGACAGAAGATGAGGATTTTGTCAGAGGAGAATAAGAGGAAGGCTATTCCCAGGGATGAAAACACCAAGCAAACAGGCATTGAAAAGGTTAGCCTGGAGTGCATTGCCAACACTTGGGTGGTGCAGGTTGACTGAGGCATGGCACGTGAGTAGGGGAGGGAAGATGGAAGAGGGTTTTCGGGGAAAGGGTGGGGGAGTCCTGAGGAGGGGTTCAACACTGCCAGGCCTTTTATCCAACTCCTACTTACTTGTTCATTCCCATTTCCAGCACTTCTGCCAATGTTCTCCACTGATCCAGCTGCACATCTGAAGTACAAATGCAGCTTCCTTGGATCAACTATCCACCTAGGTACTTCCTTGCTCCCTTGTAATGCATCTTGCCCACCAGGACCAGGACAATTTTCCTAATATAATATTCTGATTAGGTATTAGGCAATTCTCTTACCAAATGTACCTACTTTTTTGTTTTGTTTTATCTAATTTTAAATCCCCTTTCCTGATTTTTAGTGACATAAACCCATGTTATCTACATAAGCTTGTTTGGTAGAGACAGGGTTTCTCCATGTTGGTCAGGCTGATCTCGAACTCCTGACCTCAAGTGATCAACCCACCAACAAATTTTGAGAAACAAAATTTGTTTCTCAAGTTTCTTTTGAATAATCAGGATGGTTGATAATGCTGGGCTCCATTCTTACTCAGCATCGATGGATAGGGCAGATATATGGGTATTTACCCCCACACATGTCTCCCTATGGCTAACATGGACTCCTTGTTGCTGTAGACACACACACATACCATGAGGGACAAGCGTTCCCACACCAAAAGATGCCGGTGTGAAACGTGCATTTCATCCCTTCATCTTTTACTAGTTGAGTGACCTTGGGTAAGTTCCTTAACTGAGTCTCAGTTTCCAAACATTTTAAAAAATGGGCTAATAAGGCCAATCTGGTAAAATATGTGAGAAGACTGAGATCCAATAGCTTCTATTTTTTAAGGCTTTTCTAATCTCCCAAACAACTGAGCATTTCCCCCATTCAATATATGTCTTGCCCAGAACTTTAATACACCTCTTAGTAGACTGTATTTTAATTATTTAATAATAAGAACTAACTTTTTGGAACACTAATTTTCATTTTTCAGGCACTGAGATAAACACTTTACATGTATTTTTCCCCCATTTAATCCTATTCATCTAGCCCTATAATCTTGTTGTGCTTATCATCCAATTTATAACTTTTTGAAGACAACACATCAGATTATTGTTCAAATTATTTCTGTCAATTATTTGCTTGGCAGATAATAGATGCTTGTGGTAGGCAGAATTATAGGAAGACCCTCAAGAATCCCACTCCATAGTGTACATACTCTATATAATCTCCTGCCTTCGAGTGTGGGAAGGATCTGTTAATATGATGGATGCCAATCTTGGGAGTAGGTTACATTATTTGGTAAAGGTGAAGAGATTTTTGCAGATGTAGTTAAATTCCCTAATTACTTGGCTTTGAGAAACTTATCCAGGGTGGGTCTAACCCAATCAGATTAAAACCCTTAAAAGAGGGACTGAGTCCTCCTGGAGGGAGAGAGATTTTCCTGATGGCCTTGAAAAAAGAAGCCTTCATGTTGTGAGAGGGCCTGTTGAAGACGGCCATGTGGCAGGAATATGACAGTGGCCTCTAGGACCTGATAGGGGTCTCCAGCTGGCAGCCAGCAAGAAAATGGGACTTCAGTCACAAAGCTGCAAGTAATGAATTCTTCCAGTAATCTGAATGAGCTTGGAAGTGGGTTCTCCTCCAGTTGAGACTCCAGATAGGAATGTAGCCCAGTAGCATCCTCATGAAACCCCAAGCAGAGAAGCAAGCTAAGCCATGACTCGACTCCTAACTCATGGAAAGTGTGAGATTATATGTATGTGTTTTTTCAAGCTACTACCTTTGTGGTAAATTGGTACGCAACCATAGAAAAGTAATACAGCACTTGATAAATGGTTGAATGAATAAATGAACCAAAGTCTTCATGCATATGCTCCAGATGCCCTTGTTATACATTCCTACAATGCTGGATCACACCTTTCCATGTTCTGGATAGCCTTCTCTTTTTTAATATTTACCCATTTAAATTCTACCCATTCTTAATGGTCCAAATCTCCCCATGAGTCCTTCATGGCACTGACCTCCAGGGAGCTCACCATCTAGGTGAAGTGGTACCACTTGGGGCTTCTCCATGATGTGATAATCTTCTGCTTGGTGCTGCTCCTTGGTGGTCTCCTGACTCCCTAGGCTTCAGGGTAAATTTGTGAGATATTTGTCTGAAGCTGACAGTAGTAATAATGCGAAGAGCTGAGCTTGACAGGAGAAAGGATGTAAGGAGAGAAGGGGAATATAGACAGAGCATTGGCCATCATCTTCCACACCAGAGGAAGAGAGAAAGAATTCTTGAACAAAAATAAATGTAGATACAAGGTAATTTCTTGATACATACATCAAAAAAGTAACATTTTAGCAGTTAGAGTACCCATCACTCAATGGGTCCTAAATTCATATTAATTTTGCATTACCTTTCTTTCTCTGTACTATCATGTCTAACAATTAAAATATTTTTGAGGAATGTCTTATATTTTACCAAATATTTTTATTTCTGTAATCTTACCACAGGTCAATGAACTAGGTATTATATTTTCATTTAACAAACATGTAAATCAAGTTATGGGGACATGGAATAATTTGCTGACAACTCAGTCACCTAAACTGTGATGAAATCAGGATTATACCTAAGTTCCTTACTCTTGATACTCTCTTTTACTAATACCCACAAGACAATAATGAAGTGTCAATGTCTGTATAAATTTATTTCAACCATATTCTGAGCTGCTGGCTGGCTCAGGCTGACAGGAGGGCAGGGAGGCTCTGACGAAGGGACTCAGAGAGGAAGACATAGTTCTTCATCCCACAATAGCTGGGAATTCTTGTGTTCATAAGAAGCATTTGAAATTGGAAATTATAATACCTAGCAGTAAAGGGAAGTGTGTGTGTGTGTGTGTGTGTGTGTGTGTGTGTGTGTATGTGTACAAATGAAAGAACATGCTTCTCTAAGCTGCAAAAGGATTTAGAAATTCCCTTCTTTAAAATGATCAAGTGGGGTGGTAATTGCCTACAAAAAATACTGCACATAGCAATGAAGGTGGAATGAGGAGATTAAATGACTCAGGGCTGGTGAAAGAGAATGAGAGGAGAATAATCTAGGAGGCTTTGGGTTCTTCAACTGGCAAGTCAATGAACTTCTCCCCAGGAAGCTGGAGATGTTGTTCTTGCCTCTGGGGGTTGCAGTGTGACATGGAAGACATGACAGAGTTAACATTTACTCATCTATTCTTGCAGAAAATTGAGTAAAAGCTTTCCTATCTCCAAATCAAGTATCAGTTATCAGTAAATTGCCTTTTCTGCTGTTGACAATTCTGTGTTCAACCCAAAAGACTTTCTTCTTTCTCTTTAGGGACACAATAATAATAAGAGTAATAATAACAATGATGATAATGATGCACAATCAATGCTTTTTAAGTGCCAGACATTGTGCTGCATGGTTTACAGATCCGATTTCATTTTGCCATGAAAATAATCCGGGGAGATTTTAATTTTTTTTAATCTCCATTTTGCAGATGAGGAAACTGCAGCTTAGGAAGGTTTAGTGGTGTGCTAAAAAACTGACATCTGGGAGAGGATAGAGTGAAGTTTGGGGAAAAGACCTGATTATATGTCCTCTGACTCTGAACAATTAAGCTATATAACCATTAAGGTCATTGAGATATATGACTTCTGAGTTATATGACCAAGGAGCTATGTGACCACTGGCCTATATATATCACAACTGAGCTATCTGTTCATAGACCTCTATAGCTACTGAGCTATACGATCACTGAGCCCACTACTGAGTTACGTGACCATGGAGACATATGACCCCTGAGGCTTATGACCACTGGGCTATGCAACCACTGAGCTATCTGGCCATAAAGCCATATGATCACTAAGCCATATGCCAAAGTGCTGTTTCACACAGGTGGTTTTAGGTATAAAAATAAATATTTTATGGTATAGAAATAAACATTCCCAGTCTACCTGTCTCACTTGGCATCTTCTTCTTCTAATTTTTATGAGCCAACAGTAACAATAGGTAAATAAAACACAGCTAAGGCTTTAAAAGAACAAGTGACATGGACATCTGACATCATGTCTCCATGCCTCACTAGTTGTGGGAACTTGATCAATTCAATTCAACAAATGGTTATGGAGCACATACTGCACATCAGATGCTGTGCTAGGACCACGTTTCCATGAAACTTAGAGAGGAAGACACGTGTCAAGTAATCAGACACAAGTGAGTGTTACAGACAGAGGGCTCTGGAAACAGTGAGCAAGGATATGTTCCCAAGTCATTTAATGGTTTTGACCAACCTTAGTCTATCCAGCTAAAAATGGAGATGATAGTAATACCTGATCTACCTATTTCATGAAAATCAAAGTATTATATATGACTGTGTTGTATGAACTGTAAAAAATATGTTAATTATCCTATTATTTGTGTTTGTTATTGTTAGAGTGATAAGATTTCTTATAAGTTACTAAGCTCCCCATTACATTTTGCTTGCCTGTGGGTATCATATCCCCAACTTGTAGTCTAAAATAATTCTTAGAAGGTACAAATTCAACACTATGCGTTAGCCAGAATGTGAATATTAACCAGCTTATGGACTTCAGAACTAATGCGTACATTAAAAATTTGAGCAACAGAAATATATTAGCATTTAATACCCTGAATCACATAAATCTTGAATAGTGAGTTGGGTGAAAAAGATGTGGATTCATAGCCTAGATATATAGTCGCCTGGAGATTACAAAACAGTAGCTGTGGCTCTGGGTTGATAAACTTGGTGGGAGATTTTACTTCTTTCTTTCCCTCTTCTGTTTTTTTCCAGTTGTTGCAAGTATTTGCCTGAAGAAAAGGAAATAGTTCTATTTACTCAAACACATATGCATTTCCCATAAACTCTACAGTCATGATCTTGAAGTGAGATCTCAAAACTAAATTTCTAAGAGAATCAGTTGGAAACTGATGCTTTATGTAGAGAAGGAAAAGCTTTTACTCAATTATCTACAATAACAGCAGGGGAAATGCTGAAAATTACTGACATAGTAAATGGATTTTTTTTTGCATAAATGTTCTCTGTTTTCAAGTTTACTTTAGTGTGAAATACCTTTATTATGAAATGGTCCCTTTATCTCATTCCCTTGTTTCTCGATAAATAGACTTTTTTTTTTGGTCAGAGGCAATGGGCCAATCATCATGGAAGATAGATTAGTCTTAAACATCTGATGGCTCCCAGGACTTGATTTTTCATAGTTAGATGGACAATGTTTGGTGTGATTGTATAGAGTGGTTTGATCTTAGAAGTAGCAGATATATCTTCCTATTTTTTCTTTTCTTTTTTTTTTAAACAGCTCTATTAAGATGTAATTTACATACCGTAAAGTTAGTCATAGAAAGTGTCCAGTTCAATGGCACAGAGTTGTGCAACCATCAACATAATCTAAATTTAGGACACTTTCATCACCTCAAAAAGAAACCCCATATTCATTAGCAGTCACTGCCATTTCCCTCCACTCTGCCATCCCCCAACAATTGCTAAAACACTTTCTGTTGCTGTGGAATTGCCTATACTGGACATTATATATAAGTTATATTATACAATACATGGTCTTTTGTGACTGATTTCTTTTACTTAGAGTGTTTTTGAGATTCAGCCACATTGTAGCATATTTCAGAACTTATCCCTTCCCATTGCTGAATAACATTCCATTGTATGAATATGCCACATTTCGTTTATTCAATGTCCTGCTTTTTTCACCTCTCTGAAATGTTTGCCTTTGTTGATAACTACTTAGAAATTCTTCTCCCTTGATTTTTATAGTACCACTTTTGGTTTTGCTCTAATTTCTCTGGCTATGATACTTCAAACTCTGTCACGGGATTCTCTTCTTCCACCCACTGTTTAACTCTTGATGCTCCTCAGATGCATCTTTAGACTCAGCAACAGGAAGCCCTGCCTGGAGCATCTTCTTGAAGGCCCCACATGTCACAGTCTCCCAGTACATTTATTAAAGGACACAAGGGCACCACTACAATTGGGATCCAGTACTCAGTACTGGGACTGTATGTCTCATAACCTTAAACAACTGCTCTCGTGACTAACGCTGTTCAGGCTTGGGGAAATCCTTCTCTACATCTGTTGACCCATGTAAAATTACATGGGTCATGTAATTTACAGTTATGTAAAACATAACTATAAAATTAATGGTTCATTTCTGAATTGAAATGTTGCTTTAATAATTTTGTTGACATCTCCAGTTGGTACTGCCTCAGTTTTCTATTTTGTCACTACCGTGAAAAGAACATGACTATATAAGAATCTTGATTACAACAACATCATTAGTGATTTTGTTGAAAAGAAGACAAGGAGATAAATTTCATGGGATAAATTTATAATAACTCATGAACTGTGCACGTCTTTTTTTAATCCCTCATTTGCACATTGCTGGGCAATCAACAGAGCATGCAGACATTCAAAATAATAATTGAACTCAGTCATCCTATTAATTTTTGCCAAATTTTAGACACATAAAAACCATCATTTTATACACTCAAACTTGTATTATTGTAAAGATATTTATCTATCTATCTATCTATCTATCTATCTATCTATCTATCTATCTATATTTTTTTTTTTTGAGATGGAGTCTCACTCCGTCACCCAGGCTGGCATGCAATGGCATGATCTTGGCTCACTGCAACCTCCACTTCCTGGGTCAAGCCTCAGCCTCCCAAGTGGCTGGGATTACAGGCACCCCCCATCATGCCCGGCTAATTTTTATATTTTTGTAGAGACAGGGTTTCACCATGTTGGCCAGGCTGGTCTTGAACTCCTGACCTCAGGTGATCCGCCCACCTCAGACTCCCAAAGTGCTGGGATTACAGGCGTGAGCCACCACATCCGGCCATAAAGGTATATTTTTAAAAGCAGGGGGATTAAACATTTTATTTAACAGCCTTTTGGTTTGATGTATTGCTTTCCATTGGTAGTCTTGCCCAAAGCCCCTCAAACATAGACTGTCTTCAGGGATCTCCAGTAGGACTCCTCTCTTTTCACTACATACCGCTTCTCAGGGTGAACTCATCCATTCTCACATTTTTAAATACCCACAATTTGCTGTGGAACCCAAATTTATTTTTTTCCAGCCCAAATTTTTCTCTTGCATGTCTTTAATGCTTAACTTGGATGCCCCACATTGGACACAATAGGTCGTTAACTAAATGCAGTCTAATTCCACTCCTTCTCAAACTGCCTTCCCCTGAAACCTGGGAATCATCTTCTCCTTGTCCTTCTTCCTCCCCTGCTTTTAAAATAGCCTGTTGGCAGTTATCTTCTACTGATTCCACTGACTTGATGTCTCTTTCATCTTCTCTTCTCTATTCCCAATTGCCACCGTCTTTGTTAAGATGTTCCTTATTTCATGTTTATTTTTCTACTAGTCGTTCTGACTCCAGGCTTGGCCCTCCCTTCCAGCAAAAGTCTGGTCAGTTTATAACCCTGCTTAAAATTTTCCAATGGAGCTTTAGGAAAAGGTCCAAATTCCTTGACATGGTATAAAGGATGTCTTGTGATCGAGCCATTGCCTCCTGTTTCTCACAGCCACCTCTTGAAATAGCTTCCCCCTTGTTCTTGTGCTCCAGTAACACTAGCTTTTGGTTTTCTGAATTGTGCCATTCCTCTTCCTGCCTCAGTGCTTTTGTACTTGCAGTTTCCTTGGTCTAGAATGTTCTCTCTTGCCTTACTCTTATCCTTTACCTAGTGTTTGGATAAGTATATGATAGAGGTCTGTCTCTACCATACAACATCTGTCCCTGCTGTGCCCTCCTTCTGGGTAATCTCTGTATATTTTTTCCTTTATAGGTTAAGCCCTAATGGTTCTCTGTCACATAGTAAAAACTCATTATATGATTGCTGAATGAATAAAAGGTTCATTCACTGTTGCATCCCCAATCTTTAGCAGAATGCATGGGGCCTAGATTAACTGCTCACTAAATCCTTAATAAATTAAATAAATAAACTCATGCATTCAAAAACAGGAATATCCAGGTAGTTGCTTGAGGAATGGCTTTTCAGAGCTTGAGTTTCCCTCAGAGGTTAGGTAACTTGTCCTTTAATTCACTGAGCTTAACCAAGTGCTGGCTATGGACAGAAACATAATAAATGCAGTGCAAGAACATGGAGTAGATCATATAGTTTGCCTCTGCCCGCATGTGTTCTAAATTCCCTTTCTTGCAACAGGTGTCAGGAGGCTGGCTTATCAAGTGGGTGTTCTAGAAGTCTAAAGGAGGAGGGAAGGGGTGGTATGTGATTTGGGCATGTAATTAAGGGACTATATATTAATAGAATCAATAGTTCAGTCTAGACCTAATCTAGTAAATCAATGGGTCACTCAGCTGAGGATGAAGACCAGTAACATGGTCCACAGCCGAGCATGGGGTCTGGGATATGAAGAGGAAGTGGCTGAGACAGGTACTGGTTCTCACCTGTTTGTTGTGATGGAGTAGGTGCAAGAACTATGCTTAAAAAAAAAATAATCCTCAAAAGTTTTAACTAATTCAGTAATCCAAATGTATTAAGATTATTTTGGCTTCAAGTAATGAAAGTGTGGTGGCACATGCCTGTTGTCCTAGCTACTTGGGAGACCGAAGCAGAAGAATCACTTGAACCTGGGAGGCAGAGGTTACAGTGAGCCAAGATTGCACCACTGGGCAACAGGAGTGAGACTCCGTCTCAAAACAAAACAAAAAAAAACAAAAACAAAAAAACCCCCTAATTCTAAGTGGCTAATACAATAAGGAAATGTATTATTTCATATTACAAGAAATTCAGAAGTAAGGGGTCTCCAGTGTTGGTTATTCAGTAGAGAGATGGTAGTATCAAGAATGAGGGTCTTTTTTTCTTTCACATCTGCCACTGTTGTCTTTATTCTCAGCCTACGATTCTCTCTTGGTTGCAAAATGGCTGCTGCAGTTGTACATAACACAGCCAGACAAGACAATGTCCAGAGAAAAAGAAGAGACCAGCTTTTCTTATGTGTCTTTTGTTGATTTTTTTTTTTGAAAAGATATGCTTTCCCACAGTTCTCCAGCTCACACCTCATTGGCTGGAATTACAACCATACCACCATGCAAACCAATGTCTGTTCAAGGGGAATGGGTTCATAACCCACTCCTGGGGCTGGAGCTAGCAGGGAGCATAGGCACCAACAGTATTTTTCTTCCCCAGGCTGCCTCTACCTTGAACTTCTGACTCAAAACCTTTGCCAAAAAAATATCCTTTTTCCTCCAAGCTCCTGCTCCACAGGAGAAGGACTGAATTTTGAAAGAATTAATGAATTTTTGTTTGTAGACTCCTTTATGTACTGGAAACATAGTTAATGGGCCTACCTCCATGGATTGGGTGTAAGTTATAGAGCCTGGAGAGCAGTCCAGGGATGTTGGAGATTAGTTGCACGATGCATAAGAGTGATTATGTTTAATCACTCTATTTTCTCCCGCCTCTTATAAAAAGCCGCCTAGGTGTGGTTTGCCAATAGTATCAATCTGTTTCAGCTTCTAGGCCAGTAGTATTTGCAGTTATGTGGCCCTGGAGTGACATTTTCTGTCACCATTAACCAAAGGAGCCACATGAGCCTAGTATAACAGAATATTCTAATACAGAAATGAAAGGTCTTGCAGCCTTGCAGGCTGCAAAAGAAGGACCCACTCTCAGCCTATTATCTTTTGCCTGGCAGTGTGATTTCCTTAGACAAAGCTCCAAGTTTGGCTTTATATCCACAGGGAAAGAAACTGGTCAAACTAGTTTATTTTTAATCCTTTGTTTTCTCTCCACCAGTTTTTCACTTTGAAAACCTTTTTAGACCACCAAACAGATAAAGTTATGTCAAAGAAGAAAATCAATCAAGCTGAATGTTTCATATATGTTCAATTCAATTCCAAATACACTTTTCGAGAATCTACAATGAGTACAGTATAGAAACAGATATTGTGGAGAATACATAACTTCATAAACATGACATTGTACACACACATTTTCTGAGAACATGTTTTGGCTGAGTACTTGGATAAGTTTGGGGATGAATAAGAGATTTTCCTGTTTTCAAAGTATACATGTTCGGGGTGAGAGAAGGCAAAACAGACACGTAAATAATCCACAGAATTTCATTATGATATATCAGGTTAGTGCCAGTTGCTGTGGCATCAAAGAAATAACCAAGCCAAGGCTAGAAAGAAAGTGAGGGAAGCCATTGCCCTGGAAAAAATTTTTGGGTGAGTATAGAGGAAACTCTTTGCCCTAGAAGTGATATTTAGGTGAGTATTGAAGGGAAATAAGGGTTTTACAGATGACCTTGAGTCTCAGTTTTCAAAAGTAGAAATAAGACATTTACACCAAAAGCTATAAGAAAAGATAGAATGTGCAAAGTTCTCTAAGAGGGCATCATGGAATGTTTCGAGGACGATCTTTTGTTCTGGGCTTTAACTATTGAGTGGGGTATTGATGTTAGAAATGGGCCAACAGTATTCCATGCAGAGTGTACACTGTAAATGTGACAGGAATAAGACAAACTAAAATAATTTATTTTTTCAATTTTTTTTCCCTTACCCTATGTCCTAGCCTGGAAGAATTTTTTTTGTTTATTGAGTTAGCTCCAGGGCTCTTACCGGAAAGTTCTAAGAAGTCAGGGAGGCTGAAATGATACAGATATGAAGAGCTTAGGAAGGGAGACAAAAGAACCTGAAGGTGGGCTTGAAGAATATCTTGGAGTGGGAGCTTAGAGTTGGGGAGAAGAGAGACTTTAGGTGAGCCTAGGCATATCGGGGGAAAGGAAGGAAAGAAATGGGAGAAGAGAGGTTTTAGGAAGTTTTTCTATGTTCTCGCTTTGGGTATGTTTATGAAAGACTGCAGTAAAGATTAAATTATTTGTATGTCTATTTGGGTCAGGGTTGATATACCTATGACACACACTGAATCAAGATGGTGCCATATGGCACGTGGGCTTTATGTGAGTTACATTTGCTAAGGCATGAAAGTGGTAGAGCACTAGCAGAACTGGGAAGCAAGAAATCATACCATATAACTAAAAACAGGGATGTCTGAAGGGAAGTACTGGCACAGAGGTTAGGTTTATTCAAAGAAGTGGAAGGCTTAACAGTCAAGGTTAGGAAGGTGGTACGTGTTCGTGGGCAGAGCAGAGCCTCTGAAGTTTCTGAATAGGATGGCTCAGTATCAGAGTGTGTTTTAAGACAATTACATTGATAGCAACGTCGGTGGGAAAGGCGATAACAGGGTAAGGGATAACAATTAAAGAGTTATTGCAAAACCTGATGCCAAATAACAGATTTGGAAGATTTTTCATGGATTTAATTTGTTTGTTTATGTGACTCAATCAAGGGTTTGATTCTATCTGGATTCAGCCGTAGCCAGAGCTACAGGATGACAATGTGTCCACCAACCTCATTACTGTTTTTTATTTCTATTATTTAGGAGTGATGGAGGACTTACAAAGTGCTCAGGGTGGATCTGGAGTACAATGCAATAGAGCAAGTTTTTATTGAGCCCCCACCAGGTGGCTGGCACAAGGGCCTTGAGCACTGGGCTTACCATATAATTAGAGTTACCAGATCAACACACAAGCCAGCCCCCAGTGCAGAGGGAGACAGAGGGCTGTAACTTAATGAGAGGCAGATGTCAACGGGGAGCAGATGTTTGCAGCTCTTCAGTTATATCAAATTAATCATCTCCTGACTTCAAGGTGCTTCTTGGAGTCCAGGAAATTTCCCTGTAATAAATTGCTCCTGGGATTGATTTTTAAAGTGAGAATGTATTTGCCACTGTCTTGAATGCTTTAGAACAATTCTTTCTAGAAGCAGAAGAAGTTTTTTAATATGGAAAAATTTAGGTGAAGGTTAAACAAGACCAAATCTAAGTTCCCAGCCTGGTTTATAAAAAACAGAGGGGCTGACTTTTTACTAATAAAATTAGCTGCTGGTTCTGCTCCACCAGTCTGCCCACTTTTGCATTTATTTAGCAAATAATTTTCACAGACACAATATGTACTGAAGCTATAACACTGAAGGAAAATGTAGAAGCCAACCTCATGGAGGCTGCAGCATTGTAGTAAATAATCACACAGATACATCTATAATTACAAATGGGGAAAGTGCTATGCCAGAGAGTTATGTGGTTCTTGAAGATAGTTAATGCAGGGATTCGATTCAAGTCAGAGAGAGCAGAATAAATCTTTTCTAAGCAAGAGATATTAGCAGAGTTCTTCCTTCTCTCTTTTTGATCTCTTTCCTTCTCCCTTCCTTCTTCCTTCTTTGTCTTTCCCTCTCTTCCCATCTCACCTTTCCTCCTTTCTCTTTCCTCCTTCCCAGTCTACTTGCTTCCCTCCTGCCTTTTCTTTCCTTTTCTCACTTCCCACTTTCTTCCTTCCATCATCATTCCTTTCTTGTCTTCTGTTTCCCTCCTCACCCTGTCCTCCTCCCTACCCTGTACTTTTCTTCTATTCTTTCCCAAATAGTAGTTGAAAGCTTGTTAGGGACTCAAGCCCTGCACCATACCCGGAGGGTTGATGTACATACAGAGATGAACAGGAAACCATTTCTCTTCAAAGTGCCTAGAGATGATGCATAATTAGTTGAAATTCAGGACAGTAGGTATTATACTGGAAGCAGATACAGGTTTTTCTGGGAAGGGCACCAGACTTAGGCCAGGGTATTGGGAAGGAGCAGGGGCCAGGTGAGAAAATAGTTTTAGAAGTGGTGGACATTTGAGATCATTCTTAGCAGACAGCTAGGAGTTAGTTGGAAAATAGGGTGGAGGACCTTGTGGGCAGGGGAACACTCCCATGTTTAAAAACAAGAAAAGTGTGATGGGACAGTTGCATCTTGGGGAAGACAAGATATCCAGTATAACTGGGGTAAATGATGTGAGCTGGGAAGATCCAGAAGATGAGATGGTTGGAGATATGGTAGGAGCCAGATGGAGAAGAACAGTGCAATATATTGTCCTGTGGGCAGTCATTGAAAGCTTCAAGAAGAGAGCCACATAATCCAATCTACTATTTAGAAAGATCTTTCTCAACAGTAGTGTGGTCCCACCCACTCCCAGCAGATTAAAAAATCATGTATCTTTATATTTGGCTTTTCCAAAACATTATTTCAGGCTGTGAGGTCTGGCGAGGGCTGATGGCCTCAGATGTGGGAACAAAGTGAAATCTCAAGGTATTTGACTCTGACAGTATTGCAGAAGTCCCTTCACCTCTTGTCTAAGGTCTCTGTTTATAAGACTCCCCCCGCTGCCCCGCAAAAAAAAAAAAAAAAAAAAAAAAAAAAGAATGAGTAAACACCATTGGAGCATCTTAATTGTTGGGAATTTTCTATTACTGTAGTGATGATAGGTAAGCCAATTCCTTTGTTTTCAAGGTATAAAAGTAAAAGAATCCTGAAAATGATGGCAGTTCAGAAAATATTCATTATTCTTAACTATGACTTCTCAACCTCGGCACTGTTGGCATTTTGGCTGAATAATTCTTTTTTGTGAAGGGCTGTCTTACAATAAATAGTTTAATAGCTTCCCTGGCCTCTACTCACTGGATGCCAGTAGAAAATCTCTTCCAACTGAGGACTATCAAAAATGTCCCCAGACATTGTCAAATGTCCCCTGGGGGACAAAACTGCCCCCTGTGGAGAACCAGTTTTAAACCGTATGATTGGAAGTATTGTTGACATGAAGAAACTCAGATAAGATTTAGCCAAGGTGTACTCAGCAAATTCTTCATGTGTTTAGAGTCACATAGGGAGGGACTGATGGCATCTGATGCCAAGTAAATTCCAGTGTTGACTCCAGAAACATCCCCTCTCTGCACTCTCAGGCTCCTGCTAATTATGAGACCACCCCTTCCTTTCCCTCATCTCCAAATGACTCTAATGTGTTATCATGGCACAGATCCTACTTTCTCTCCAATTACAAGATCAGATGGACATTTTTCAGTTTGGCTTTCAAAGCTGGTTGCTCCTCAGAGACAGCTTTGCTAAAAGCATTTAATGATCCTTGAGGTAGCCAAGCTTTAGAGGTGCCTATCTGTGGCACTGGGCAGGATGGGGAAGCTATCCGGGGTTCTGTTAACCTTCCAGGGTTACTGCATCTTCCATTTCTCTGTCCTCCCAGAGTGAGGCCTGCTGGTTTTATTTCGGTTTTGCATTTCAGATTCCTGTTTTATAGGATGCCAGCAGCAATGTTTCAGACATTTCTAGGCATTGCATGAGGCTGCTTTTCCCCAGTTAGGTCTTGGGCACTGTAGCACAGCTTCACATATTAAAATTAGGATATCTTGGAGTCACCATTAGGCTGGTGACTAGACTTCACACCCCTTGAGAACAAGGACTCAGTCCTATTTCTTTGATTTCCCAGTGCTTATACTTAGCCGCCCTGCTGGTTGCTGAAAATGCGTATCTTCCAGGACACACAGGAGTCTTGGCCTTGCCACATTTGTCAGCAATGTGGGTTGTCTCGTCATCTGGAACCTACATTATGGTTGTGAACCCACGTTTTACCTGGAACCTTCAGCAGGGAAAGTGTACGCTATTTTTAACAGTGTCCCTTTTTTTCCTAACATGGTTCTTTAACAAGGTCGTATCATTATCAGTTATTTAATATTTCTAAAATTAGAAATCATCTCACTGCTGTGGTAGCTCAAGCTTCAGGCCAGACTCTTTGAGCCTTCTCACACTGGGGCTATTGATACAGCCTCGTGGTGAGTCTTCCCGCTCCTTCTTTTTCTAGTTTATGGTTGGATTCAAAATTCAGCCAGGCTAAACTTTTTGCTCTCTTTTGGTCAGGATTTATACTTATTTAAGGCACCGCAATAGCCACTTTTAAGCTAAAAAACTGGGATATAGCAGCCTGGTTGGAAGTCAACATTCTTACTCAGTGGTCTTATACTTAACTAGCTCAAATAGCTCTCTGACTAGCCTAGGGAAAAGGCCATGCAGTGAAAGGGAGTGGAGTAATGATTCTCTCCAAAGTGGCCCTCCCTGCTGCTCCCTCATAAATTCAACATGTATTTGGGGATAATTAAGAGGGGGCAAAGTGGAAAGCAAGTAGAAGGAAGACAAGGGAAGGGAAGATGCATGCAATCCTTCACAAAGACCTTTCATCACCTGCAGTGTGCCAGTCCCTGTGCTAAGGCCTAAAGACAGTATTATATATGGCATGGCCCTGCCCTCACCAAAGTCATAGTTCACATGAAAAGGACAGAATGAGAGCAAAAGCATCATTAAGACTATATGAAAGCACTTCCTGGAACAGAAAGAACTTTGACTATCTCAACTAATCTCTACATTGTATAGGTACTATCAGTATGCTTATTTTACAGAGGCGAAAACTGTTGCTTGGACAGATTAAGTAATGTGTCCAAGGTTACTTTTCTGATAAAGGATAGAGCCAGCTCTGGAGCCCAGATCTTCTGACTGCAAGTCCAGTGATCTCAGCAGTCAAAAGAAGAAATCTCACCTTCCCGCCTGTGACCAGCCTCCCTCCTCCACCAACAAGCCCTCTGTGATATCTCAGTATTGATGTCTTGGCAGTGTCTTTGGTCCTTGTGCCATGTCTAAAGACAATATTTACTTCTCCTCCCGTAGGGCTCCTTGCTGGCAAAAGGATTGCTCTTCAGACGTGCTGGAAAAAGATCCACAGCACACCTTCAAGGACAGCCTTAAAGCAGGAGTCTCAGGGTGGTTATTGATTACCCTGTTTCCATTTCCCATTGTGGAGCACCATTCTCAAACACCTGCAAGGGCTCTGTGGCCATAAATCAGCTCCTTGTAATAGTAATTAATATGGTGACCCACACAGGGTGAATTCTCCTTTTCCAAAGAACCTAAATAAGTGGGTCATAGAGATGAACATAACTGAAAAATGAGGGGGAACCTCCTTAATGCAAATACATTGTTTTTTTTTCTCCTGAGGAGAAATGAGGAAGGTTTACTAGCCTAAAAATGACTATCACACTAGAAAATAAGTACAAAAAGAAGTGTATAACATTAACATTTTCAATTTGCATGAACTACTTAACCTAAGTCACAGGGAGAAAACTGCGTGAAAATTTTAGCATTATGTGTAAAACATAGTAGGCATTCAGTAAATATTTGTTTTATAGTGAATGAACACATGGCCAAGTAATCCACTCAAGGTGGAAAAACTTTACTGGCTCAACTGGGCATTTTGACTATATTATGAGAAAAACAACTACTATGATGGTTAATACTGGGTGTCAGCTTGATCAGATTGAAGGATACAAAGTATTGACCCTGGGTGTGTCTGTGAGGGTTTTACCAAGGGAGGTTAACATTTGAATTAGTGGGCTGGGTAAGGCAGACCCATCCTTAATCTGGGTGGGCACCATCTAATCAGCTGCCAGCACAGCTAGAATATAAGCAGGCAGAAAAATGTGAAATGAGAGACTAGCATAGCTTCCCAGCCTACATCTTTCTCCCATGCTGGATGCTTCCTGCCCTCGAACATCGGACTCTAAGTTCTTCAGTTTTGGAATTCGTGCTAGCTCTCCTTGCTCCTCAGCCTGCAGCTGGCCTATTGTGGGACCCTGTGATTTTGTGAGTTAATACTTAACAAACTCCTCTGTCTCTCTCTCTCTCGCTCTGTGTATAGATATATACATCTATATATATATATATATAGAGAGAGAGAGAGAGAGAGAGATGGAATATATATATATATGTTCCATTAGTTCTGTCCCTCGAGAGAACCCTGACTAATACAACAACCACAAAAAATCCACCAGACTCACTGATTTTTTTCCCCCCAATAGAACTAGCCCAGTGGTGAGTGTGTGTTTGGAACAATTAGAAATTAAATGAGATTTTCGACTTGGTGCACACACCAATTGATATACATGCCCTATGATTACTCTGTGGTGCAGTGAGAAAAAAATGCAAGGGATTCAGAGTTAGAAGAGTTGGGTTGAAGCCCCAGTTCTGCCTCTTAGCAACCGTGAAACTTTGGGACAATCATTTAACCTCTCTGAGACTGGGTCTTCTCCTCTGAAGATGGAGATAACATAAACAGAGAATTGAGTCGGCAAATGGGGTTGACAATGTCTGTGGAAGTGAGCTGTCCATCATAAACTGGGATGCAAATATAGATTGGGATTCATGTTATGAATCACCAGTGTCATTAATATCATATTAATGGAACAAATGACCAACTTTTTAATTATGGTGTTAATAACTATGAACATTAATTAATTTGAAGTCGCTCCAGTCATTGCTTAGATAAGTTACCTTTTGAAGCTGGAGGAAAACTTTCCTAAATGTCACTGGAAAACCAAGGGAAGTGTGGGTTCCATTCACCCTCTGGGACCATCATGGTTATTTTGGGATCAGTCTTGGCTGACAACATCTGAGTGAAGAGCACTGATGGTTTCCCTACAATGTGTTGCAATCAGAGGATATGGGACAACTGACTTCAGTTGGAACCAAACCAGAGCTGTGTGCTAGAGTTGCAGTTTGCCTATGTGTGCAGATTCTTTCCTACAGCCAACTCCAAATAGGAGATAGAGTGCATGCTTCTGTCCCTAGCAGAACCCTATTTGCTGAAGGGCAGCCAGAAAGTGAGGAGACGCTCTCAGGCTTCCTCAATTTGTTCTAACACGCTTTTCTCCCAGTGGATGTATGGATTAAGAAGTCTGGGTGAAAGATTAACACAGGGCCAGGCTAGATAGAAAATGGAGACTGGGGGTTTTACCAAATCCTCCCTATTTCTGATCTTCAGGAATTGGATACTGGAATGGAGTAAGAACATAAACAGATATATTTCAAGTTGTAAGCCCCCTCCTTCATTCTCTTAAAAAAGCTAGTTGTTAATCTCCTTTGCATCTTAAATTTTATTTTACATAGAAGCTTTATCTTTGCCACCATTTCAATAATTTGTATCCCTGCTAGCTCTGCTTCACTTGATCAAACTAACCTGGAAAATTTGTGAGCTATTAAGAGAACATACCATTTCCTTAGGGAGCCATTTATTCTCATCCTCACTGATAATAGAAAGTCCTTTTCTGGGTTTGATACTAGCCTTCTCAATCCATACTGGGTGTGTTTTCTTCCATTGCCGGTTGTTCTCAAGCTATCACTTTCAGTCTTGTACAAGCAGAGGTGGGATATGCTTCATGGACTCATTTTGGGCTCTGTTTTTATGATTGTCAGCAATGTGGATAAGGCAATGGAAATAAATGGTGTTGGATCATCAGTTTAATTGGTGACTAGAAAAAGAAAACACGAAGTGCGTCTATTTTCCTTCTTGTTTGGAATTCAGAATGGGTTTATAAACAAACTTTCTTATAGAAGTTATCCCCAGACTTTCTTATTTCCCACTTCAAGTCTAAGTTTGAAAATGGAGATGTCTCATAGGCACATATAGAAATATTGTCTAATTCCCTACGTGTTTAAAATTAAGACTATTAACATCCCTCACTTACTAGTTGTCCCTCAATGGATCTACATTGTTCCTGTCATCCCATTTAAAATTCCAGAGTCTTCTATAACTCCTCTCTCATTCTACATATATGGTGTTTGATTGGCCTATGTCTGTTCTTGTAGTTATTATTATTTTTTGCCTTCCAATATTTATCCACCTAGATGATGCCATTATTACCTGCACTGAGTCAACCGAAAGGGCCTCTTCACTGGTCACTATGGTGCTATGCTTTCTTACTCCAATCAGTCCTTCACCTCGCCTTGAGATCAGTCTTCCTTCTGAAAGCAACACTCTGCTCATGCTCTTCCCTGCTCTAAATATCACTAATTTCTCATTTCTAGTAAAAAAGGCCAGACTCGTCAGTGTAAGATTTAAAGTCATTCATATCTCGTCCCAGCCTGCTTATACTTTTTCAAGACTTTCCCCCTCCATTCCTCTAACACCCAAACACAGTGATTCAGTCATTCCTTAAAATAGCCTGGTACTTTTTGCCTCCACATTTTTGCTCATGCTTTTCTCTCTTCCTGGGATTCCATTCTCTTACATCCTAATGTGTATTTAAAAATGCCTCTTCTATAATTAATTGCCAATGCAGACTGATGTATTGTAGTCATATGCATATCTATTATATCTCCTCATTAGACAGTTAGATGTCAAAAGATAGAGCTATGCCCTATATACCTTTAAACTTTCTACAATGGTTAATATAATGCCCTGGATAGAATACACTTTCAGTAAGTATGTTTACTGATTGAATGAGTGTGTAAATAGAGATATAATGAACATATTGTTTAAACTTTGGATTACATCAAACTCTGGAGTATAATGAATGGAAACTTTTGGAAAGCTAACTGGTGCTTTCAGAGCAGAATGGAATTGAGAGTTCTAAAATATTTTCAGTCCCATCAAGGCCAGAGTTCCCTACTGTTCTTTTCCTTTATTCTCTCTTCATTTTTATTTCCTCAGACCCCTACCCCTTCATTGTCTCATAAATATAGCATGTTATATAGAAAAAAATGTTAAAAGCTGTTAGCATTTAAAGATATGTGGCAGTTAAATCTCTTATCCATAACTCTGCCAAACTGTCTCCACTATTCACACACAGCACATAAATAAAGACAACTGTCTGTGATCAGATCATGGGCAAAACTATGCAGTGGGTCACTCTAGCCAAAGCCATCACTGGAACAGCTTAGAAGCCTCCTGGAAACCTCATTAATGTAGCTCATTTTAAATTGACATCCTCACATTCTAGAAAATTGGCCTTCCATTGATGTTTTGGAAGGGTGGATGAACCTATGATGAAGTTTCTAGTTACTGGCACATGTATAAGCCTATGTACAGGTGTACATTCTGTGTGAAAGGATGTCTATTTGCGTTTATGGGTTGGTTTTACCCAAAAGTTTGAAGATCTTTGGAGACAGGAAGAAAGTGCAAGTCTTTATTTCAGCTTAAAAGAAGGGCCCAAGTCCAAGAACTTAGAGGTTTGGTTTGGACAGGCATCCAGAATTTAGGGTGACTATCTCAAGCTCCTGCATCTGCAAATGTGGACTGGATCAGTTGAGGACAGGCAATGTTATAACATTTTGCAGTAGTCTTTACTGCCATTAACACTAGGAAAGAGTGCCTCCTTCACCAGAATACATTAAGATTTGGGGAACTGGAAAAACAAACAGGAAAAACAGAGAGAAAAAAATTGGTTTGATTACTTTAAGAACTGCTATTCTTTCATTGCCTCCAAAGTTGCGATTACATCTCTATACTGCTAATATTTGGATCAGGCTATCACATGAATGTTATTAATCAATAATAACTTTAAAATAGATCCATAGATCCAAAGAACTTGAAAGTTAATGGGGACCTTGAGAACCTTCTGGTCAAACCATATTTTTAGACAGATTGAAAAACTGAGGCTTGAAGAGAAGACATGGTTTGCCATGGACTCAGAGAGTACAACTAAGATTAATTCCAGAGATCTGATCTTTAGTTAACATGGCTTTTCTTTTTTTTTCTTTTTCCTCAATAAACTTTTATTTTTTGTTGTTATTTTTATTCAAAAGAATTTGTTTCTCTACCACAAAAATTAGATAACCACACCACCCAGAGCAGCAATGTCCATGGAGTTACATTGATGATGGAGAATTGGCTGGGTATTCCCAAGGTCCCAAAGGTCATAAAGGAGGGAAAAGAGAAAAAGAAAAAATATTCAAAACAAACCCAAAACCCTGATGACTTTAGGGAGAGACATTACATGACATTTTCTGTTTCTTCTCTCATTGTCAGCTGCAGATGTATTTCAGCAGGATCAAGTACAATTTGACTTGAGTTAACCCTTCATACCAATTCTAGCACCTTAATTGTACCCTGTTAGCAGCAATCAGCACATTGGAATCTCCATCTGATAGTGCCCTCCAGCACACAGCACTAACGTATTCATTTGTATCATCTCCTTTTTGGTCTTTGTCCAGAACACTTTTGACTGTATCAAACTTAAAAGTTAGCAAGGTCTTAGAAAGTCCTTTATAGCACAGGTAGAGAGAGTTATTCTCACTTCCACAAGCTATATAATCTCCATTGGAAGCCAGATCTACAAAGTTTTTTTCATTGATATGACCCTTGAAGGAACATAGGGAGTATGATTTCCCTACATTCCACAGTTTTAGCTGACTGTCTGTTGAGGCAGAGACTATCTCCTCACCACTCACAAACGTTGCGTAAGAGACTGCTGTTTGGTGTCTTTTGAATACCGTGATTGGCTGTTTAGTGTTATGAAGATCATAGTAGTGGACACAGTGATCTGCATAGTCGAAAGCCAAATAGTATGTGGAAGAGGGGCTGAATTTAACACAGCACACATTAGCCTTTGCCTCAGTGCTTGCCACTAAGCTGTCTAGATTGGTATACCACAGCTTCACTAAGGGCAAAGGACAATAGAAACAAAAAGAGAAACAAAACTTGGCTCTTCCAAATCATCACACAGTTAGTCCTATTGTAGTGCATCTAGATGGATTGAATGGGCTGAGATTAGACAAGCTGAATTTTACTGTAATTCTCATTTTTATGTAAAGTGACTTGGTTTTTGCCAATTCATTTGTAGAATAAAGGCTTAAAATGTGAGATGGACTAATAAGTATGAGAGCCATCAGCAGGGAGAGTAGGACAGCCATTGACATTCATTTTCTGGGAGGAGCATTATTGATTGTTCTGAGCCAGGAAAGGAAATGTTTTTCTTCCTGGTGGAAGATCACTACCAAAGTTTGGAGGAGAAAAGTTAATTTGACCAGAATCCAATTTAGGGAAGTCTGCATCATGAGCCAGAAAATAATCAACTAGGAAATCAAGGAAATAGACCAGGGTGATGAGAACGTTTAACCAAGCAAGAACAGGAAGAATAGGGAGTCTTGAAATCAATCCCAAAACAGGAAGAGAATTGTAGTCAAGAGACATGGCCAAAGGGTCCCAAAGGGCACGTTGTTTCTGCACATAAACTTGTGGTTACAGTCATATTTTGAAGCTCCTTCTTGTTCTGTATTTTTGGTTTCTAACAGTTTTAGAAACCTCCTGATGAAAGCAATTTTGTGTGTTTGTGAAATCCAGTTTTCTAATTTGTTGATGCAGCATATCTTTCAAATCTTACTATCCTGAAAAATCAGATTTACACATGTGAATATTGGTGAGGTTTAAGCCTATCATGGTGGGATTACAGAGTAGGGAAGACTTAAAATGGTCTCCGACAAGTGTTTTAATGAAGGCTCCTGAGCTATACAGACCTTGTACAAAAAGAAAATCAAGATTATTTCCTTCGGTCCTTTGCCTTTAGGTAAAAGAGGCATTTTAATTTTCCCTCCCCATTTTTTTTTCCGATCTGGTAGTGATAACAAACATATTACATGGTTGAGTTAATATCCAAGAAATCTCAAGTCTAAAATCATGGGCAGATAAATTAATTCACCCAAAGATATGAAGAAGTAATATTCTTTGATCAATAATGAAGCTTTAATAAACTGTATGATTTAACTTTGGGAAGACAAATGATGAATTAATCCACTTATGACTTGATTAGGCATTACATAGATATTTATAGGAAAGAGGGCAAATTCTACTAATTATAGGCTTAAAAGTTTGTTCCTAGACAAAAATCTCAAAAATATCATTAAAGAAATAGATTATGAACCTTAGGGGCTAGAGTGGGTCCACTGAGAACTGGTCATGCCAGACTAACTTCTTTTTCAGTAAGGTTGCAAAACTAGTCAACAAGAGAAATGCTAAAGACATAGTATGTCCACATTTCAGTGTTTCTAATGTGTCTGTACTTGACTAAAGATTATAAAATCCTACAAATAGAAGAACGTATGACAAAATTTTATTCCAGATCTTTAAGACTTTATGAATATGATGGCAACTGGTGCTACAATTAGATAGATAATAACTAATGAATGACCACCTCATTAACAACCGATTAATGGATGGATGGAAACCAAGCATTCTTTCTATATGATAGTCTTCTTGGTAGTTCCCAGTTTCATATTTTGTATTAGAAGAAGACTCATTGAGCCATATTATATGTGGAAATTCCACAATGCTACCCAATATGATGATAAGGGAACTAGTATCTGAGATCCCCAAAACATGAATCTCTAGGGAAAATATTTTTAAAAATCTAATAGGGGTAGATGTAAAATGCATATGCATGTAACAGTACATGAATATACTTGTAACGGTAGTAGATCGGCAAAAATATTTAAGGTAGAAGGTAGGAAAGATATAGCTGACACAGCACACAGCACACAGCACACTGTGATGGTTAATTTTGTATCAACTTGAGTGGGCCATGGACTGACCACATATTTGGTTAAACATTTCTGGGTTTTTCTAGATGAGATTAACATTTGAATTGGTAAGCCATGTAAAGCAGATTTTTGCTCTTCTCAATGTGGGAGGACCTTATCTGGTTTGTTGGAAGCCTGAATAAAATAAAAGGCTGAGTTAAAAAAAAAAAAAAAAAAAAAAAGGCCGGGCATGGTAGCTCATGCCCGTAATCCCAGCACTTTGGGAGGCTGAGGTGGGTGGATCACGAGGTCAGGAAATCGAGACCATCCTGGCTAACACCGTGAAACCCCGTCTCTGCTAAAAATACAAAAAAATTAGCCGGGAGTGAATGGCGGGCGCCTGTAGTTCCAGCTACTCGGGAGGTTGAGGCAGGAGAATGACGTGAACCCGGGAGGCGGAGCTTGCAGTGAGCGGAGATCGTGCCACTGCACTCCAGCCTGGGCGACAGAGCGAGACTCCATCTCAAAAAAAAAAAAAAAAAAAAAAAAAAAAAATCTCTCTTTGCCTGACTGTCTTTAAGCTGGGGCATCATTCTTCTCCTGCCTTCAGATTCAGACTTATATTGGGACTTACACCAATGGCTCTCCTAGTTTTCTGACGGAGACTCGGATGGGACTTGCACCCAGTTTTCTTGCTTTTCAAGCCTTCAGACCCAGATGGAACTGTACAATCAGCAATTCCCGGTCCATACTTCTCAACCTCCGTAGTTGTGTAAGCCAATTCCTGTGAATTACTATGTCTCTCAATCTTTCTTTCTGTACACACACACACACACACACACACACACACACGCACACCCTATTGATTTTGTTTCTCTGGAGAACCCTGACTAATACATACCCCTTACCCCTACAAAAAAGAGGGGGTGGTACTGCTAACCTTGGTATAAGTCAAGAGAGTCATATTACTACCAAAACATCAAGATCAATCTTGGGTCCAGAACAAGCAAGGCTTTAATCAGAATATGCCCAGAGTTTCATGTTCAGTTCTGGTAACCCCAATATAGGAGGAAAAGAGTCAAACAAGAGAGAGTCCAGAAGGAAAGGACCAAGGTACCAAGGTAGATGATGCGTCTAAAGTCATGCCAATGAAAAATAGTCAAAAAAAAATGAGGCTGTTACACTTGGAGAAGATTTCAGGGAAGCATACAACAGCTGTCTTCAAATTCTTGAACAGTTATCAAAACAAAGAGGAATGATTCATTCAGTGGAACTCCACAAAACAATGACAGAGAGTGGACATTTTAAGAAGAGTTCAGCCTAATCTAAGGAAGCACTTTCTAAAGAGGGACTGGACTGAAATGGAAGTGTAAGTTTTCTTCACTGAATCCATGTGACACCAAGTCCTGGGTGGTATGAGGGTTTCCTGAGTAAGAGGGAGATTAGCATCAATTATCCTAAAGATGCTTTTTTACTTTATGAAATTGCTTTCTGTAGAGGAAATGATTGTTCTGGAGCCAAGCAAATAGTGTGATGTGATGGAATACTTACCCTACTTAATAGAAGACACTTTTCAAAGGACGTGTTCATTTATAAGCAAACTGTTAACTTACCCATTTTTTGAAGTATGCCCCTTATGAAACTTTTAGCATTAATACTTTTTAGTTGCTTTAGTTTAAATATCTGTATCTTTTTGAAAGTAACATGATGGATTTTTAAAAAAAGGATTTTATAATCTACATTTTTCATTAATTCAAGCAGATTTTTCCTTAATCATTCTGAATGAATCATACTTCTCTGAACATCTGAATGACATGTACTAAAGAAGTATAATAATAATAACTTACTTTGGTTAAAAGTACTATGTGCTGGGCATGGTTTTAAGCAAGAATTCATCCATTTACAAAGTTTTACTCCCTCAGTCTTCACAGCAACTATATGAAGTAATTACAATTTTGATAATATTTTACTGATGAAGAAGCTAAATCACAGAGAGGCTAAGTGATTTGTACTAGGACATATTGTTAGTAAGAAGCAAAGCAGGATTCTGGCTCCAGAATCTGCATTCTTTTTACCATATTATTTCTGTTTAACAAGTTTCTGATTTTACAGCATTCCAGTTAGAAGAAGAAGTAAACTTTGAAATCCCTGCACATGGTTCTCAACATCCTGCTTTAGGGTAGCTTCATAAAAAGTATCTAACTATGCTATGCTATGCTGTGGGAGAAAAGTAATTTTATTGCCTAGGTTCACACTTCCACAGAGACAGGTAGGCAGATTGAACACCTTTTTGCGTGTGAAGATTAAAAGAGATATTATATATAATCTCTCCTTTAAAGACCTGACAGGTAAAATAAATATCCCTCAGAAGTGGGAGATTTTCTCCCCCCTCTCATTTGACAAATGCCATATGGTCTACTTAAAATTTTTTGATACTGTTCCTTGAGGGAAAAGTTACTCCTTGTAATCTGAGTTTCTGTTTGAAGATAAAGAATAATCACACTGAGAATGGCTTCCAAGTAGTTTCTCAAGTTTAAGTAGCCTCCTTGTGCCTGCAGTGGGGAGTTGCATTCCAATGCAATGTGTAACTGGGTATTTTTCATGTTGTGCAAAAGCATTCCATTGTATCTTTAATTTCTACATTATTGATATTAATGATATGACTATGTTTTAGACACGGCCACCATGTCAAATGCACTTTCCACGAAGTGTCCAGTATTTCCACAAACACAGTGAGCATCTATTATGTTCTTGCCTCAGAATAACAAGACACAGGACTTATTGTCTAGGCAGAAAGCTCTGGAACACAACATAAACACAGAGAATAAATAAAGGCAGGGGAAGAGAAGTCCTTCTACCTAACCACAAATTCAAGCATTCAAGAAAAGACCTGCACAATGAACAGTTTTGTGAATTATGAATGAACCTTACCATATAACTTCTTGCTTCTTCAGTCTACCACAACAGATTTTTTTTTCCACCTCTGGGCAACTGGGTTCATGATTAATCCTTTGCATCTCTTGGCCTTTTTGGATAGAAGAGAGTATTTTAATCCGGTAGTCTACTGACATTTCTTTTTCCTGTAGTTAGAAAAACTAATTTATATTGTCTTAAAGTAATACTGATGTTGCAAGTTAGAAAAATGCAAGAAAAAAAGTGAAAATTATTTGTAACCTAGTATTCAGAGATTATTTCTATTAACACTTGAAAAGATTTGTCTAGCCTTTTGCATATCTATCTATCTATATATATATAGTATATAATAAGGTTAACAAGGTTATACTATACATGTGGTTGTTTATACTGCTTTTAAAAATAATTTAATAATATTTGCACATTTTCCTGTGTTGTTAAAGAAGGGAAAATGAGTACAACAACTTTGGAAAAAGATCTGGCAGTTATTTATTAAACTACACATGCACATACCCTATGACTCAACAATTCCATCCTATGTATAAAGTCCAAGAGGAAATAAAACATTTATTCACAAAATACTCGTACAAGAATGTTATGTCAGCTTTATTTGTTATAGTAAAAAATTGGAAGTAGCTCAGATATCCATCAACAGGTGAATGGATGAACAAATTGGTGTATTCATACAATGGAATATTACTTGGCCACAACCACTCATGTCATTGCATAGGTTTGGTGCAAAAGTAATTTCAGTTTTTGCCATTACTTTTAATATCCCATACCATTGACAGATACAACAGCATGAATAAATCTCCAAGGCATGATGCTGGGTGAAAGAAACCAGAATAAAAAAAAAGTACATGTTGTATGATTCCATTTATATGAAGTTCTAAACCAGGACAATGGTTTCCTTTCAAGGTTGGGATAGGGCAAAGGCAACATTGATTAGAAAAGCATGCAAAAGAATTTTTCAGAGTGATACAATATTCTACATTTTAATAAAAACTTGTGTGACACAGGTGCGTACATTTGTCAGAATTCATGAAATGGTACATGTAAGATTTACGCATTTGACTGTATAAAAGGTTTTACCTAAAAAAGAGGAAACACATACACATTTTAAGCCTCTGTTTCCTTATCAGTGAGTCAAATAAAAAGTGTCATCTTTGTAAAGCATAATGCCTTTATATAGCATTGTTCCAAAAGTGACAATAATCCTTCAAAACCTGGACATTTTTTCAAAACAAAGGATCGGTATACCTAATATATAAAAAGCTCACTGAGAGAAACCACTAAACTTCAAATAGGGAAATGAGAAAAATAAATAAATTTAAAATTCTAAGAAGAAATGTACATAGCCAGAAACCATGAAATCATGTTCGAACTCATTATTAAAAAATAATCTTGCTTTATTGAGCATCTACTAGGTTTATATGCATTATTTTAATTAATACTGTTGATTAATAAACTTATAAACTATATTTAACCTCACTAGTAATCCAAAAATGAAAGTTAAATGAAAAACATTTTTTTCTAATAAAGATTTTAAAAGTATAGTAATGCTGGGGAAAGTGTGATTGGATAAGCATTCCCAAATATACTCCGTGGGATATAATTTGTCACTACTTTTTGGGAAGCGTTTTTGCCATATGGATTAAGAGTTTAAAAAAAGAATATACCCTTTGAATTTGTAATTCCATTCTGGGATCTTTTCTAGGAAATGGTCAAAAGGTGTACAAAAATGCAAGTATAAAAATAACCAATCTAGCATCTTTTATAATTGCAGAAAACTAAAGACAACCTGAAAGTTCAATGTAAAAGGCTGAGCAAATAATTTACACGATTTATCGGGAGTGCATCCACATATTGGAGTAGCAGGGACTCGTCCATTTTCTTTCCTAGGATCCCTAATTTTCATCATATTACCTCTCAGGATAACCGAGGGGCATGAAGAGGGGAGAACGTTTATGTTTCTTGTGCTACCATGGAGAAGAGTAGGGAAACAATTAGGACCAGAGTTACTCATTTTCTTCTAAGCATGTATGCATTTATGAGGTATAGGAATGCCTCACAAAGACAAAACACTATGGTTGGGCAAGCAACGTTTTTATGTGCCTCCTTTCTCAAGATTTTTCTCCCTCTTTTCCTTGATCGTTCCTCTTGTCTCTCCCTCTCCCATCTTTTTCCTTTACCAAGATCTCTGGGCACTGAATGAATCCTGGACATAGGAGAAGAATCTGGGCTATGTCCACATAAGGATAGTAGATGGGTTATTGCAAACTTTGTCAGGACCTCTTCTCTGTGTGCCTGCACCTCCCTGCACACCCGTCCTATCATCCCACTTACCTTTACTCTTACATCCCACTTAACAATTACTCTGTATTGTTCTACCTGTTTATTTGCCTGCTTTTTTCATTAACTCCTTGAGGGTAAGAATGATGCCTTTTTCATCCTGGTGACCCCAGAGTCAGCGCCCATTATATTAAATAGAGAGACTGTATAAGATAATTGGTCAAGCATTCTGTGTTCAGACAGCCTGGGCTTTAATCCTAGCTTTGCCATTTCTTAGCTGTCTGACCTTGGATATCACATTTCTCTGTATTTCAGTTTCCTTATTTTTAAAGTGGGATTAATAAAAATCACCAAATGTATGGAGTTACAGTAAGTATTAAATGAGTTACATGTAAAACTCTTAGAACAATGCCTAGAAGATAAGTCCTTAATAAATGTTGGTTATTAATATTCACATAGTCATAGCAATTTTAATAGAAAATTACTCAGATAAAATTAACTATACCTGATAATGAGTTCTAATCATTAGATCTCAATGAGCTTGCCTTGGGGACAGAGAAACCCATATTTATCTTTTCGGGTTCACTCCAAATGCTTGCTACAATGTCTGGTTAATAGTGGGTGCTCATTGAACGTTGAATGAATAGATACATGTATGGCTAGATAGTCATACATAGATAAGAAAGATAATAAAGAAGATAGAAAAGGAAGAAAATCTGTGACTGCCACAGCAAAAACAAATCCTCCATTTTTGGTGTTTTAATGACTATGAAAGGTCTCTCATTTGAAATTGGATGGGTACACATCTTTTAGGTGGAGGTCATGTGGCTTAATAACATGACATATGCACGTATCTTAATGAGAAGAGCTGAGGGAATGGAGTCTAATCTGGGCCTTAGCATTTAGTAGCTCTGTGACCTGATATAAATTACCTAAGTTCCCTGGCCCTCAGTTTTCTTCTTCATAGGTAGGGTTAAAAATTCCTACCTCTTGAAACATTTATGAGAGTTAAATATGATAAGGTATGTAGAGCCATTTCTACAATGTTGTAGTTATTGGTTTTATTTCAGTTTACATTGATGGTGAGACTCCTGGAATTCATTTTTCTGTCCAGTAAACAGTAATGGAAGCTAGTGGACATGAAGTTCTCACACAGAAGCAATGTGTAATTGACAACAGGGAGGTCATTCAGATCAGGTCAGTTATTGAATATCAACATGGAAAGAAAATTTGTTACATATGGACTTAATGGAAACGACACCCTAATTTTATGTCAAGTTGATCCAAGAAGCCTGCCCGAGATCCTCTGCATGATGTTTTCTATAGGAACATCTATTTTTATTGTATTTCCTTAATTCAATCAAAAGGGTTCCCTTGAGTTGACTTATAGTAGGCTGTGATATCAAATTATCTGAAGTTAATACACAGGATACAAGTGGATGTTTTATCTTTTGGCTAGGAGTCCAAAACTACATTTTATTGAGAATACCAACAACTGGGTTGTTGCCTAGAATTGACTGGGTATTTGGAATGTCCAAGGTTGCAGAGAAGGGATCTCAGGATCAGACGCGCAGTTTTTGCATTCATCAAACATTTCTGTGAGTACTGTGTCCCAAGCTCCACATGAGTTGCAAAAGATAGTGCCAAAAATGAACAAAATAAAGACAGATCTGGCCTGAAGGAAATCACTGTAGTGAGGAAGACAGATACAATTTTCATATGTAGTTTTACACATATATACATATATCTCTGTTCCAGTAGAGATATGTGGAAAGTTCTGTGAGGACATAGAAATGCAAACAATTCATCCTGGGAGCATCACAGAGGAGATGAGATTTTTAGTGGCTTTGAAGGACAAGTAGGGGTTCACCACAGAAACCAGAGACGGATGGTCATTCCTGGATGAGAAAAGAGGACTAGTCAAAGTAGTATGGATGAAACATCTGTCACATGAGTTGTCTGAGGTCCCAAATGTGTGGAGGAGCAGTGAGAGGCAGATGAGGTTACATTGTTAAAGAGTTGGACTGGTAATTTTTTTGAAAATTAAAAAAAATCGACTCTAACGTGACATAAGTAATAAAGGCAATGCTTACTGCAAAATCTGAAAAACAGTACTAAATTGCCTAAAGTGAGACATTCAAGGCCTAGGTCTCCTCCTTTTTCCAGGCTCCAAATTCCACTGCCAGAGAGAACCATGAATGATGACTTTTTTTTTCAGGGATCCTTCCATATATTTTCTCCGCATATATAATACATATGAATGCATGCATATGTGCATTCATGCACACATTTTAAAAATAAAAATGTAATTATCAGTATTGTTTAATTATAACTTGTTTTTTAACCATGTAAAATTATATTTTAGACATCATTTCATATATTTCTATCTTATTTTGAATGGCTATATGGTATTCTATTATATAGCTAGACCACAATTTAACTAAAATGATGTTTAAAGTTCTTCTCAACTTATTACTCTGAAAATTTTCACTGGCTTTCTTAGCTTTCAGGTAAAGATGATAGTACGATAATGTTGATTACCATTTAAAATGCGCTTTTGGATTAAAACAATCATTTTAGAAGTGGGGGGATCTGTTCTTCCGGGCATCATCTCCTTAGAAATATCATGTTATTTGGTATGACGAGGAATTATCAGAACTTTTCTGTTAGTGGGGCTGTTGCAGAGGACGTAGCATTTTGAGCCAGATTTGAAGCATCAGCAGAGGTTCATCAGGCAGGAAAGCTTAACTCTGTTCTGAAGAGAATGCTGCTGAACCAGATTCAGGCAGGACAGTGGCCATATCCTCATTTTAATCGGTCAATCAACAAACAAGTTTTGAATACCATCAGAGTGCACAGTAGGAAGCAGCACTGGGAACATGATTCTGGCCTTTGAATACCTTATAATCTGGTGGAGAAACAAGATTCATGAAGCAGTTAGTGAGATCTATTAAGCAGTAGGTAAATATTGTTGAATTATGTCCTACGTAAAAGTACCATAGGGGCTGCTCAGAAGAATGAGATGAGCCTGGGCTGGGATACTCGGGGCAGTGTCTCTGGGTAGCGTGAGATGTGAGATGGACCTAGGAGGATGAGTAGGACTCCCATAAACAGGGTAGTTATGGGGGACTTTCCAGCCAAAACCAGTGTACAAACAACCATGTAGTCCACTGATAGGACTATTCAACCTAGTTGTTTTGTTAAATAACCAGAAAGATCTAAATTTTCTGTCTGTGTTTTCAGACACAGAAGCATCCTATAGTTCTCTTTTGCTCATGAGTCACAGATTCCTCCTGGCAAATAAAGAAAATAATGATTACTTACTATTAATACCATGAAAATAAGTTGCAGGGCTCTGATATTGTTGATCTTTATGCCTCACCCTTCTTATTTTCAGACATATCATCACCCTTATTTCTGAGGTTGCTGGAGGGCTTTGATTCATGAATGCTTCCCAGACCAGAGTAAGACATTATAATGTCTTGACTTTCAGATGTTTTGACCATAATCAGAAACCAGCCCAAGATTAATTAAAGAACTGCCCAAACTTGATATGATGCTGACATGAACTCTTGTCCATTGAAAAACTGGTGTTGGGGACTTAGCATATCCCTTTTAACCTAACTTTACTCCAAGTGTTTTCTCAGTGTTGCATTCCCAGGAGATACCTCAGTCCTCCATGGGATTTGCCTAAGTGTGTTATAGAGATCCTCCTTTCTACCAGGATTGTGGGAAACTGAGCAGGTTTTAAAACCTAAGTGAACAAAGGATGTGGGAGAAGGAAGGTTGTCCTGGGAATTAGAAGACCTGATTTTTATCCTGGATCTGCCATTTAATTTGCTTTATAATCTTGGATGAGTTACTTCACTCATGTGACGGAACTAATTTTGCAAAAGTAAGAAATACTGTTCAATTAGGTAGAATAATGTATCTTGCTCTAAGGTTTTCTCAGGAAAACAAGGTTAAACTAATTCAGGTGTTCCTATCCTAGGGCATTACGGATGAACATGAGGGAATTCTTAAACTTCTTCAATTTTGGCACATGTATGTATATTTCTGGGGCAAGACTCCACAGTTTTTGAGAGTTCAATCTACAAAGTGTTCATGGCTTTCCAAAAGTTAATTGCCTGTGGATGACAGAAACTCTAAAACTTCTCAAGTTTGAAAATGTTATCATTCATTGATTTTCTATCTTTGTAGTAAGTCTTATAGAGCAAATATTACAGAGAGAAGAATTGGCACAAATCCCTTTAAATTATACTTTCTTCACATTAATCTGAGGCTAACTCTATATTATGGAGAAACACTTTTTACTACAGTAGAGAATTCTTAGAGGCCCAAGGTCCTGTAATTTTTATCCTATTTAACTTGGAGTTGTTTGTATGCCTACAGTATTGTTTACTGAATTAACACAGTTCACTCTAAATGACTTTGAAGATATAAAACATTGGACATTTGACCCAAGAGTGTTCCTCAGGGTCCTCTAAGCTCTAACCCTGGATTAAGAGGTTAGGTACTCCAAGGGAAAAAATTTGCTTACTACTTTACCTTACTTCCCTGTAAAAATGTCTTTTCTGAGTTATTATTTACTCTTACTTCCTTAGCGTTTACTCTTTTTAGTGGGCCACTATGAAGCTTGTACATTTAAACAAAGTTTCTGTGTCTTTCACAGGGACAAAGTGAAGACATTGTCCAATATGTTACCTAAGGTCCCTTATAGTCAATACGATTCACTTTTAATTTAACATCAGGGAAAAAGTGTTTTTGAAAGAGAAATTTGTATTCTTTCTATTAAAAATGACAATATGTACTTTATTTCTCCTTTGCTTCCTCTACCAGGACTTTCAGAACTGAAGTCCGTGCTCAAATGTAATTTGTAAGAGCTTATTCATTATAGATGTCTGGGCACATCTATGTTTTCCTATATTTACTCCAATATTACTTAAATTTTTTTGATTATAAGAGAATACATTTTCATTGAAGAGGAAGTTTCAGAAAAAGTGAGAATCATGAGTTGTCTGATCATCAGGAATAATACTTGGTTACACTCCAGTATTCCAGTGTTTCTTTTATGCATAGATACACTTTTCATAATGTTGGAATCAAATTGTCCATACCTTTATACAAACCCCTCTTTCATTTAATAACATCATGGAAATCTTACATTTATATTAATTTTTTAAGGGCATGCATTTTGATGATGGTTTGGTATTCTACAATAAAGATGTACCATTATTTTAAATAATGCTGAGGTTGATAGCTTTATAGCTGAATGTTTGTTTTCACTCTTGACTATTTACTTAGTATAAATATCTAGAAGAGAAATTACTAAACTTATTTTAAAGACTTTATGTACTGAGAATTTTCTTTCCATAAATGTTGCAACAATCTATACTCCACACTAACGGTGTTTAAGAGGGGCTGTTCTCACACCATTGTCAAAACTGAGCAGCATTTTTTTCTTCTAATCTAATTCGCCTAGTAGAAAACAAGCAGATATCATTGTTTGCATTTATGTTTCATTAATTTTAATGTAGTTTCATAATTTAAAAGTTTATTAACCATTTTTGCACTTCTATGTATGAATTGCCTATTATCTTTTGCCCATTTTTCTACTGAGGCATCTGACTTTTTTTCATATTGTTTTGCAAAAGTTCTTTATATGTAAAGAATATTACTTCTTTGCCTTCTAGCTTGCATATATTTCTCCCATTTTTGATTGCCTTTCCATTGCTATAAGCAGCGTATAGTACAGTGATCATAAATAAAGACACTAGTGACTCTCTGGGATCACAGAACAATAGCTGTGTATCCTTAGGTAGATTACTTAATATCTTTGTTCATGTCTTTCCTTATCTATAGTTCTATCTTCCCAATATGTACTCTGCTTGGAATAATGCCTGGCGTATCATGTGCACTCAATTAATATTAACAAATTTTATTAATCAGAATTTTATTTTCAAATATCCTGTGTTATATTGTGTCAAGATTTTAATAGTTGTTATATTTTTAGGGAACGTTAGGGGTGGGAGAATTGAAAGAACTTAAAGAATACCTGTGTCAATGTCATTAGCACTTCATGATAGCTTTGTAAAGAACAAAGAATGCTTCTATTCCAGGTTTGATTTACACCCAAAATAAATGTGGGTGCATAGAAAGTGAGGTAACAATATACTTGGAATGTGCTGGTCATCAAACACATAGGTTGTTGCACTTATTTAATTGTTCCATTTTAAATGACAGATAATGTTCCAATGACCTTTTTCTATAAGGATCTCAGGATATCCCACAGGTCTTTAAGCCTCATCTTTTCCATCCAGGAACTAATCCAAGTTGGTCTCTCACTTAAAGGGGAAGAAACTGAGGAGCTGCCAGTCAGCCATCAACCATGAAAAAGCTCGGGATAATTTCACTTGAGATCGGAGACCCCACCAGCTGAAAATAAAGCAAATTATGTTCCAAATCTGGTTTTGAAATGAAGAGTGAAGAACCTACAATTTGAAAATAATCACATCCACTGTATCTTCATCCTCCAGATGAGGACTCTCTTACATTTTAGTTAGTCAGTGTGTAATGTTTCTTTTATTTCTGTTCTCAAAGTCTTGACATCACTAAAAATAACTGACTCAATTACACTTGTGCATAAGCAGCTGGAAAACTACCAACATGTTCCCAATGTCTAAACCGTGTAAACAGAGACACCAGAGGCAGGGTAGGGGGTGGGGAGGAAAGAAAAAAAGGAAAAGAAAGTAAAGAAAGCAAAATTATTTTGAAAATAGAATTATGCAAAAGCAGCTTCCAGGGAAGATAGTATGATGTTTATACCTTTTCTTTGCTCCCAGTGGCACACTGCAGTCCATACACCAACTGGGTCCCGGAAGCAAACCAGGTGGAAAAAAGGATCAAGAAACTTTATAAACACCTTGCAAATCAACGTGCTCGGCCAATACACATTCCATTGCTCATCATGGGAAAATGTTGGCAGCTGTCTCTGGTCAGATGTCCCAGGGTTTTGGGGGCCTCAATCTAGAACTTGAGGACTAACAGGGAAAATTGAAACAGAATCCTGGCTGGTCTGCAACCCCGAAATACAACCACAAACCCCCTCAATTTCCAAAGACCAATCTTTTGTGGTGGCTCTTAGCTCAGAATGCACAATTACAAAAATGAAATGTTCCAAATGTCCTGTACACCCACAACATTCTTTCTTTTATTTACTGTCTCGGGTAGAAGAATATACTTTATCTCCTCGTGTCCTTTTGCCAGGAAAGCGAAGCAGGTTTGGCCAGCAGAAAACTTGATCATCTTTATTCCTTCCTTCATGTTACCAGGAGATGAAGGAAAAGGTCACAGCAGCTGTGCAGCTCAGCTGATTCACCCTGGGTCGGGCTACATGTTATCTACACTTCTCAAGGGGAGAACCTTGCTTGCGATAAAAGTAGGTCATCAGGCAGTGAAAAGAGAATGTGACTTCGCCAAAGAAATGAGAAGGGAGAGCGGGGTCAAACCCAGGGCCTTGGTGCTTCTGAAACGTTGACCAGAGAGGGCGAGATGAGCATTGCTGTGTGACCTCTCTCTCTCCATCTCTTGCTCTCCCAGTCTCCATTTTGCTCTCATTTTAACTAATACATGAAGTGCCTGGAGAAGCCAAAGAATCCATGAAGGGACCCTGCAAGGACAGTGGCAAAGAGCTTTCTTTTTTTTCCACACAAAGTCAGGCCAAAGGGGGATGGTTTAAGTTGCTTCCAGCAGGACTTAGGTTCAGCATGAGGAAAATATCTCGGAGTGAGATGAGCCTCTGGAATGCATTACTAAGGGAGTTGATGGAATCCACTTCAGAGATCTCTGAGGACACCATGGAATGCTAATCTTTTCTTAATGGCTAATATTTTGGTGTAGAGGAGGAGACATGGATGAACTTTCAAGTTCCTTTCACTCCTGAGATTTGAACATACACTGGCAGAAGAATGAGATATCAGTTGTCCTGTGACATCTGCAACATCCAAATCCTGCTTCTTCTAGGTCACCTGAGGCCCTTGGGGTACCTTCCGCACCCTCCAATTGCCCCCACCTCCACCTCTGACACTGGTGATTAGGTTTAGTTCCTGAGGGTATAGATCTGGTGGTGTGTGTGGGTGGGGGGGTGGAGGTTATTGGATGGAGAAGAATCATATATATATATTTAAAAAAAAAAAACAAGAATAACAAGTACCAGAAAGTGAGTTCAGGCCAAGATTTTTGGGAAGTGCTGAAATTTAAGTGGGGGAAATGACAATAATCTATGAAATATTCCGAGAGGTAGGAACTATACCAGAAGTGAAAAACAGAGCCAAGGCCCCCAAGCTAGGTAGGAGGAAGATAAAAACAGAGTATATGAGGGAATAGGATTTTTTACTTACGGGATTCTTGACACTCACAGTGTCAAGACAGGTAAGAGTCACAAGTCAAAAGAGTTGTGAAGGGAGGCCAGGTGTGGTGGCTCACGCCTATAATCCTAGTACTTTGGGAAGCTGAGGTGGGAGGATCACCTGAGGTCAGGAGTTCAAGACCAGCCTGGCTAACATGGGGACACCCCATTTCTACTAAAAATACAAAAAATTAGCAGGGTGTGGTGGCGTGCCTGTAATCTCACCTACTTGGGAGGCTGAGGCAGGAGGATCACTTGAACCCAGGAGATGGAGGTTGCAGTGAGGCAAGATTGAGCCATTGCACTCCAGTTTGGACAACAAGAGCAAAATTCCATCTCAAAAAAAAAAAAAAAAGTTGTGAAGGGAGTAAATGAATGAATAAAAAATTCATAAGATTTGTTATTAATATAATTTAACATTCTGGAATTTATAAATGAACATAAGATTGACTTCAAGGGTGTCTTTTTATGAATTATATCACTCTTAGACCCATGTGCTTTCTCTAATGAAACCTAGTGGGTGGAGAATTGGGATAAACTTACATTTGCTCTTGAAGGTGTTTCATACAGGTGAACGGGGTCACATGTTTGAGAGTCATGGGGTGGTACTCATCTGCAGATGAATATGACTGTGAAGATCATCCTCTGGAGAGTAGACGATTGGATGAGTTGGTCAGGCCACTTGAAGGTCCATACCTTAGTGTTAAGACATCCTCACTGGTGCATCTTCATTGTGACAATATTTTCATATGCAGAGGATCAGCACTTGCTTCCTTTACTTTTTTCCTCCAGAGCAACTTTATTGCATAAGCATGCTCCTTTCTATTGACTCATTTTGTAGAAACAACCCATATATTTATATGCCAGGACATGGGTTACAGATTTTACCTCCATAGAGACTCATCGACACATTTCTTTCAGTTTGTGAGTTTTGAGCTAACAAGCAAAGAGGAGCTCACAAGCAAAGGTAAACCTTTCTTTTATGCTTCACAGTGACATTCATTCCATGCTGTCTTTTGTACCATGACCTAGGATGTGGAATATGGAGTCAAAGATGCGTAAGACAAGGTTCTTGACCTCAGAGCAATCCATTCAGGATACCCATTAGTCTGCATCAGGCTTCTGTGTCATGGAACCCACACAGAGAGGAGGAAAGGGATGAAGCCACCAATGATGAGCACCATGACTTCTGGCATCACATTTTGTTTGACTGAGAACCCTAATTTAATGAGAGAATGTAATCAAGGAAGGTTAGCAGAAGTCATAGCCTTTGGAGAAGATTGCTTAACATACAGTCCATTGGTTCTTCCCACAGGAGAGAATGGTAAAGACAGCTGAGTTAGAAAATTTTAACAGGATGCTGCTATAAAGACACATGCACATGTATGTTTATTGCAGCACTATTCACAATAGCAAAGACTTGGAACCAACCCAAATGTCCAACAATGATAGACTGGATTAAGAAAATGTGGCACATATACAC